>NC_000013.11:16110759-16164892 GCF_000001405.40 Homo sapiens | reverse complement strand
TCTGTGTAGTTTTTCTGTGAAGATACTTCCTTTGTCACCATTGGCCTCAAAGCACTCCTAATATCCATTTACAGATGTCACAGAAAGAGTGTTTCCAAACTGCTCCATCAAAAGAAAGTGTTTAACTCTGTGAGGTGAAAGCACACATCTCAAAGAAGTTTCTCCGAAAGCTTCGGTCTAGTTTTCATGTGATGATATTTCCAGTCTCACCATAGGCCTCAAAGGGCTAAGAAATATCCCTTTCCAGATTCTAAAAGACCACCATTTCCATACTTCTCAATCAAAAGAAAGGTTACATTCTGTGAGGTTAATGCACACATCAGAATGAAGTTTCTCAGAATTCTCCTGTCTAGTTTTCACGTGAAGATATTTACTATTTCACTATAGGCTTCAAATGTCTCAAAAATATCCCTTTGCAGATTCTACAAAAATATGCTTTCCAAAGTGCTGAATTAAAAGAAACCTTCAACTCTGTCAGATGAATGGAGACATCACGAAGAAGTTCCTCAGAATGCTTCTGTCTAGTTTAAATGTGAAGATATTTCTTTTTCACCATAGACCTCAAAGGGCTCAGAATTAGACCTTTGCAGATTGCAGAGAAAGACTGTCTCTAAACTGCTCAAATAAAATAAAGTTTCAACACGGTGAGATGAATGTACACATCACAAAGAAGTTCCTCAGAAAGCTTCTGTCTGGTTTTTATGTGAAGATATTTCCTTTTTCACCATAGGTCTTACACCGCTCACGAATATCCTTCTGCAGATACTATAAAAAGACGGTTTCCAAACTGCTCCATCAAAAGAAAATTTCACCTATCTGAGATGAATGCACACATCATACAGAAGTTCCTCAGAATTCTTCTGTCTAGTTTTTATGTGAAGGTGTTTCCATTTTCACATTAGGCCACAAAGCGCCCCAAACATCCATTTGCAGATGATACGAAAAGACTGTTTCCACACTGCTCAATCAAAAGAAATTTTCAACTCTGTGAGATGAAAGCACACATCACAAAAAAGTTTCTCAGAAATCTTCTGTCTCGCTTTTATCTCAAGATAATTCCTATTTTGCCATAGGAATCAAGGGGCTCACATATACCCCTTTGCAGATTCTACAAATGTTCTCCTTACAAACTTCTCAATCAAAAGAAACGTTCAACATTGTGAGATGAATGAACACATCCCAAAGACGTTTCTCAGGTTGCTTCTGTCTGGTTGCTATGTGAAGATGTTTCCTTTTTCACCATGGTCTTTAAGCCACTCAAACATACCTGTCTGCAGACTCTACAAAAAGACTGTTTCCAAACTGGCCCATATAGCATGTTTCAACTATGTGAAATGAATGCACTCATCAAAAAGAAGTTTCTCAGGATTCTCCTGTCTAGTTTTTATGTGAAGATATTTCCTTTTTCACCGTAGGCCACAAATTGCTCCAAATATCCATTTGCAGATTCTACAAAAAGAATGTTCCCAAACTGGTCAATCAAAAGAAAGGCGCAACTCTGTGAGACGAAAGCACACATCACAAAGAAGTTTCTCGGAAAGCCTCTGTCTGCATTTTATGTGAAGGTATTTCCTTTGGCACCATAGACCTTAAACCGCTCGCAAATATAACTCCACTTATACTACCAAGAGACTTTCTCCAAATTGCTAAATCAAAAGAAAGGTTCAACTCTTTGAGATGAATACACACATCAAAAAGAAGTTTCTCAAAATGCTTCTGTCTAGTTTTCATGGGAAGACATTTATTTTTCACCGATGGCCCAAAACCGCTCAGAAATATCCCTTTGCAGTTTGTAGAAAAAGACTGCTTCCAAACTGCTCAATGAAAGGAAATGGTCAACTATTAGAGATGAATGGAAATGTCGCAAAGAGTTTTCTCAAAAAGCTACTGTGTCGTTTTTATGTGAAGACATTGCCTCTTGCACCCTAGGCCTTAAAACTCTCTAAATACACATTCACAGATTCTACAAAAAGACTGATTCCAAACTGCTCAATCAGAAGAAGGGTTCAATTCCGTGTGACAAACGTGCACATCACCAAGAAATTTGTCAGAAAGCCTCTGTCTACTTTTTATGTGAAGATATTTCATATTTCAACAAAGGCCATAAAGGGCTCACAAATATCCCTTCGCAGATTCTAAGAAAAGACGTTTTCCAAACTCCTCAATCAAAAGAAAGGTTTAACTCTGTGTGATGAATGGACACATCATGAAGAAGTTTCTCAGAAAGCTTCTGTCTAGTTTTTCTGTGAAGATATTTCTTTTTCACCATAGGCCTCAAGCAGCTAAGAAATTTCCCTCTGCAGCTTCTACCAAAGACTGTTTCCAAACTGCTCAAGTGAAAGAAAGGTTGAATTCTGTGACATGAATTCACACATCACAAAGAGGTTTTTCAGAAATCTCCTGTCTGGTTTTTAGGTGAAGATACTTCCTTTTTCAAAACGGGCCTCAAATATCTCCAAATATCCATTTGCAGATTCTACAGAAAGACTTTCCAAACTGCTCAATCAAAAGAAAGGTTCAACACTGTGAGATGAAGGCACACATCACCAAGAAGTTTCTCAGAAACCTTCTGTCTAGTTTTTAGGTGAAGATACTTCGTATTTCACCACAGGCCATAAAGGGCTCACAAATATCCCTTTGCAGGTTCTACAAAAAGACTGTTTCCAAACTGCCCAATCAAAGGAGAGGTTCAACTCTGTGACGTGAATGGACACATCACAAAAAATTTCTTGGAATGCTTCCGTCTAGTTTTTATGGGAAGATATTTCTCTTTCACCATAAGCCTCAAACGGATCAGAATTCTCCCTTTGCAGATTGTACGATAAGCCTCTTTCCAATCTGCTCAATCAAAAGAAAGTTTCCACTCGGTGAGGTGAATGCACACAACGCAAGGGAGTTTCTCAGAAAGCTTCTGTTTAGTTTTTACGTGAAGATATTTCGTTTTTCACCACGGGCCTCAAAAGCTCTCCAAATATCCATTTGCATATTCTAGAAAAAGAGTGTTTCCAAACTCCTCAATCAAAGGATAGTTTCAATTCTGTGAGACGAAAGCACACATCACAACGAAGTTTCTTAGAAAGCGTCTGTGTAGTTTTTATGTGAAGATACTTCACATTGCATCACAGTACTCAATGGTCTCAGAAATATCCCCTTGCAGATCCTACAAAAGGACTGTTTCAAAACTGCTCAATCCAAAGAAAGTTTCAACTATGTGAGATGAATGCGCACGTCACGAAGATGTTCCTCAGAATGCTTCTGTCTTGTTTACATGTGAAGAAGATTCCTATTTCACCATAGGCAATAAAGGGCTCACAAATATTTTTTGCAGATTCTCCAAAAAGACTGTATCCAAACTGCTCAATAAAAAGAAAGTTTTAACTCTGTTACATTAATGGACACATCAACAAGTAGTTTCTCAGAAAACTTCTGTGTAGTTTTTATGTGAAGATATTTCCTTTGTCACCATTGGCCTCAAAGCACTCCTAATATCCATTTACAGATGTCACAGAAAGAGTGTTTCCAAACTGCTCAATCAAAAGAAAGTGTTTAACTCTGTGAGGTGAAAGCACACATCTCAAAGAAGTTTCTCCGAAAGCTTCGGTCTAGTTTTCATGTGATGATATTTCCAGTCTCACCATAGGCCTCAAAGGGCTAAGAAATATCCCTTTCCAGGTTCTAAAAGACCACCATTTCCATACTTCTCAATCAAAAGAAAGGTTAAATTCTGTGAGGTTAATGCACACATCAGAATGAAGTTTCTCAGAATTCTCCTGTCTAGTTTTCACGTGAAGATATTTACTATTTCACTATAGGCTTCAAATGTCTCAAAAATATCCCTTTGCAGATTCTACAAAAATATGCTTTCCAAAGTGCTGAATTAAAAGAAACCTTCAACTCTGTCAGATGAATGGAGACATCACGAAGAAGTTCCTCAGAATGCATCTGTCTAGTTTAAATGTGAAGACATTTCTTTTTCACCATAGACCTCAAAGGGCTCAGAGTTAGACCTTTGCAGATTGCAGAGAAAGACTGTCTCTAAACTGCTCAAATAAAATAAAGTTTCAACACGGCGAGATGAACGCACACATCACAAAGAAGTTCCTCAGAAGGCTTCTGTCTGGTTTTAATGTGAAGATATTTCCTTTTTCACCATAGGCCTTACACCGCTCACGAATATCCTTCTGCAGATACTATAAAAAGACTGTTTCCAAACTGCTCCATCAAAAGAAAATTTCACCTATCTGAGATGAATGCACACATCATACAGAAGTTCCTCAGAATTGCTTCTGTCTAGTTTTTATGTGAAGATGTTTCCATTTTCACCTTAGGCCACAAAGCGCCCCAAACATCCGTTTGCAGATGATACGAAAAGACTGTTTCCAAACTGCTCAATCAAGATTAATTTTCAACTCTGTGAGATGAAAGCACACATCACAAAAAAGTTTCTCAGAAATCTTCTGTCTCGCTTTTATCTCAAGATAATTCCTATTTTGCCATAGGAATCAAGGGGCTCACATATACCCCTTTGCAGATTCTACAAATGTTCTCCTTACAAACTTCTCAATCAAAAGAAACGTTCAACATTGTGAGATGAATGAACACATTCCAAAGACGTTTCTCAGGTTGCTTCTGTCTGGTTGCTATGTGAAGATGTTTCCTTTTTCACCATAGTCTTTAAGCCCCTCAAAAATATCTGTCTGCAGACTCTACCAAAAGACTGTTTCCAAACTGGCCCATATAGCATGTTTCAACTATGTGAAATGAATGCACTCATCAAAAAGAAGTTTCTCAGGATTCTCCTGTCTAGTTTTTATGTGAAGATATTTCCTTTTTCACCGTAGGCCACAAATTGCTCCAAATATCCATTTGCAGATTCTACAAAAAGAATGTTCCCAAACTGGTCAATCAAAGGAAAGGCGCAACTCTGTGAGACGAAAGCACACATCACAAAGAAGTTTCTCGGAAAGCCTCTGTCTGCATTTTATGTGAAGGTATTTCCTTTGGCACCATAGGCCTTAAACCGCTCGCAAATATAACTCCACTTATACTACCAAGAGACTTTCTCCAAATTGCTAAATCAAAAGAAAGGTTCAACTCTGTGAGATGAATACACACATCAAAAAGAAGTTTCTCAAAATGCTTCTGTCTAGTTTTCATGGGAAGATATTTATTTTTCACCGTTGGCCCCAAACCGCTCAGAAATATCCCTTTGCAGTTTGTAGAAAAAGACTGCTTCCAAACTGCTCAATGAAAGGAAATGGTCAACTATTAGAGATGAATGGAAATGTCACAAAGAGTTTTCTCAAAAAGCTACTGTGTCGTTTTTATGTGAAGACATTGCCTTTGGCACCCTAGGCCTTAAAACTCTCTATATACACATTCACAGATTCTACAAAAAGATTGATTCCAAACTGCTCAATCAGAAGAAGGGTTCAATTCCGTGTGACAAACGTGCACATCACCAAGGAATTTGTCAGAAAGCTTTCTGTCTACTTTTTATGTGAAGATATTTCATATTCCAACAAAGGCCATAAAGGGCTCACAAATATCCCTTCGCAGATTCTAAGAAAAGACGTTTTCCAAACTCCTCAATCAAAAGAAAGGTTTAACTCTGTGAGATGAATGGACACATCACGAAGAAGTTTCTCAGAAAGCTTCTGTCTAGTTTTTCTGTGAAGATATTTCTTTTTCACCATAGGCCTCAAGCAGCTAAGAAATTTCCCTCTGCAGCTTCTACCAAAGGCTGTTTCCAAACTGCTCAACTGAAAGAAAGGTTGAATTCTGTGACATGAATTCACACATCACAAAGAGGTTTTTCAGAAATCTTCTGTCTGGTTTTTAGGTGACGATACTTCCTTTTTCAGCACGGGACTCAAATATCTCCAAATATCCATTTGCAGATTCTACAGAGAGACTTTCCAAACTGCTCAATCAAAAGAAAGGTTCAACACTGTGAGATGAAGGCACACATCACCAAGAAGTTTCTCAGAAACCTTCTGTCTAGTTTTTAGGTGAAGATACTTCGTATTTCACCACAGGCCATAAAGGGCTCACAAATATCCCTCTGCAGGTTCTACAAAAAGACTGTTTCCAAACTGCCCAATCAAAGGAGAGGTTCAACTCTGTGACGTGAATGGACACATCACAAAAAATTTCTTGGAATGCTTCCGTCTAGTTCTTATGGGAAGATATTTCTCTTTCACCATAGGCCTCAAACGGATCAGAATTCTCCCTTTGCAGATTGTACGATAAGCCTCTTTCCAATCTGCTCAATCAAAAGAAAGTTTCCACTCGGTGAGGTGAATGCACACATCGCAAGGGAGTTTCTCAGAAAGCTTCTGTTTAGTTTTTACGTGAAGATATTTCGTTTTTCACCACGGGCCTCAAAAGCTCTCCAAATATCCATTTGCAGACACTAGAAAAAGAGTGTTTCCAAACTCCTCAATCAAAGGATAGTTTCAATTCTGTGAGACGAAAGCACACATCACAACGAAGTTTCTTAGAAAGCGTCTGTCTAGTTTTTATGTGAAGATACTTCACATTGCATCACAGTACTCAATGGGCTCAGAAATATCCCCTTGCAGATCCTACAAAAGGACTGTTTCAAAACTGCTCAATCCAAAGAAAGTTTCAACTATGTGAGATGAATGCGCACGTCACGAAGACGTTCCTCAGAATGCTTCTGTCTTGTTTACATGTGAAGAAGATTCCTCTTTCACCATAGGCAATAAAGGGCTCACAAATATTTTTGCAGATTCTACAAAAAGACTGTATCCAAACTGCTCAATAAAAAGAAAGTTTTAACTCTGTTACATCAATGGACACATCAACAAGTAGTTTCTCAGAAAACTTCTGTGTAGTTTTTATGTGAAGATACTTCCTTTGTCACCATTGGCCTCAAAGCACTCCTAATATCCATTTACAGATGTCACAGAAAGAGTGTTTCCAAACTGCTCAATCAAAAGAAAGTGTTTTACTCTGTGAGGTGAAAGCACACATCTCAAAGAAGTTTCTCCGAAAGCTTCGGTCTAGTTTTCATGCGATGATATTTCCAGTCTCACCATAGGCCTCAAAGGGCTAAGAAATATCCCTTTCCAGATTCTAAAAGACCACCATTTCCATACTTCTCAATCAAAAGAAAGGTTAAATTCGGTGAGGTTAATGCACACATCAGAATGAAGTTTCTCAGAATTCTCCTGTCTAGTTTTCATGTGAAGATATTTACTATTTCACTATAGGCTTCAAATGTCTCAAAAATATCCCTTTGCAGATTCTACAAAAATATGCTTTCCAAAGTGCTGAATTAAAAGAAACCTTGAACTCTGTCAGATGAATGGAGACATCACGAAGAAGTTCCTCAGAATGCTTCTGTCTAGTTTAAATGTGAAGACAATTCTTTTTCACCATAGACCTCAAAGGGCTCAGAGTTAGACCTTTGCAGATTGCAGAGAAAGACTGTCTCTAAACTGCTCAAATAAAATAGAGTTTCAACACGGTGAGATGAACGCACACATCACAAAGAAGTTCCTCAGAAGGCTTCTGTCTGGTTTTTATGTGAAGATATTTCCTTTTCCACCATAGGCCTTACACCGCTCACAAATATCCTTTTGCAGATACTGGAAAAAGACTGTTTCCAAACTGCTCCATCAAAAGAAAATTTCACCCATCTGAGATGAATGCACACATCATAAAGAAGTTCCTCAGAATTCTTCTGTCTAGTTTTTATGTGAAGATGTTTCCATTTTCACCTTAGGCCACAAAGCGCTCCAAACATCCGTTTGCAGATGATACGAAAAGACTGTTTCCAAACTGCTCAATCAAAAGAAATTTTCAACTCTGTGAGATGAGAGCACACATCACAAAAAAGTTTCTCAGAAATCTTCTGTCTCGCTTTTATCTCAAGATAATTCCTATTTTGCCATAGGAATCAAGGGGCTCACATATATCCCTTTGCGGATTCTACAAAAGTTCTCTTTACAAACTTCTCAATCAAAAGAAACGTTCAACATTGGGAGATGAATGAACACATCCCAAAGAAGTTTCTCAGGTTGCTTCTGTCTGGTTGCTATGTGAAGATGTTTCCTTTTTCACCATAGTCTTTAAGCCACTCAAAAATATCTGTCTGCAGACTCTACAAAAAGACTCTTTCCAAACTGGCCCATATGGCATGTTTCAACTATGTGAAACGAATGCACTCATCAAAAAGTAGTTTTTCAGGAGTCTCCTGTCTAGTTTTCATGTGAAGATATTTCCTTTTTCACCGTAGGCCACAAATTGCTCCAAATATCCATTTGCAGATTCTACAAAAAGAATGTTCCCAAACTGGTCAATCAACAGAAAGGCGCAACTCTGTGAGACGAAAGCACACATCACAAAGAAGTTTCTCGGAAATCCTCTGTCTACATTTTATGTGAAGGTATTTCCTTTGGCACCATAGGCCTTAAACCGCTCGCAAATATAACTCCACTTATACTACCAAGAGACTTTCTCCAAATTGCTAAATCAAAAGAAAGGTTCAACTCTGTGAGATGAATACACACATCAAAAAGAAGTTTCTCAAAATGCTTCCGTCTAGTTTTCATGGGAAGATATTTATTTTTCACCATTGGCCCCAAACCGCTCAGAAATATCCCTTTGCAGTTTGTAGAAAAAGACTGCTTCCAAACTGCTCAATGTAAGGAAATGGCCAACTATTAGAGATGAATGGAAATGTCACAAAGAGTTTTCTCAAAAAGCCACTGTGTCGTTTTTATGTGAAGACATTGCCTCTTGCACCCTAGGCCTTAAAACTCTCTAAATACACATTCACAGATTCTACAAAAAGACTGATTCCAAACTGCTCAATCAGAAGAAGGGTTCAATTTCCGTGTGACAAACGTGCACATCACCAAGAAATTTGTCAGAAAGCCTCTGTCTACTTTTTATGTGAAGATATTTCATATTTCAACAAAGGCCATAAAGGGCTCACAAATATCCCTTCGCAGATTCTAAGAAAAGACGTTTTCCAAACTCCTCAATCAAAAGAAAGGTTTAACTCTGTGAGATGAATGGACACATCACGAAGAAGTTTCTCAGAAAGCTTCTGTCTAGTTTTTCTGTGAAGATATTTCTTTTTCACCATAGGCCTCAAGCAGCTAAGAAATTTCCCTCTGCAGCTTCTACCAAAGACTGTTTCCAAACTGCTCAACTGAAAGAAAGGTTGAATTCTGTGACATGAATTCACACATCACAAAGAGGTTTTTAAGAAATCTTCTGTCTGGTTTTTAGGTGACGATACCTCCTTTTTCACCACGGGCCTCAAATATCTCCAAATATCCATTTGCAGATTCTACAGAAAGACTTTCCAAACTGCTCAATCAAAAGAAGGTTCAACACTGTGAGATGAAGGCACACATCACCAAGAAGTTTCTCAGAAACCTTCTGTCTAGTTTTTAGGTGAAGATACTTCGTATTTCACCACAGGCCATAAAGGGCTCACAAATATCCCTTTGCAGGTTCTACAAAAAGACTGTTTCCAAACGGCTCAATCAAAGGAGAGGTTCAACTCTGTGACGTGAATGGACACATCACAAACAATTTCTTGGAATGCTTCCGTCTAGTTTTTATGGGAAGATATTTCTCTTTCACCATAAGCCTCAAACGGATCAGAATTCTCCCTTTGCAGATTGTACGATAAGCCTCTTTCCAATCTGCTCAATCAAAAGAAAGTTTCCACTCGGTGAGGTGAATGCACACATCGCAAGGGAGTTTCTCAGAAAGCTTCTGTTTAGTTTTTACGTGAAGATATTTCGTTTTTCACCACGGGCCTCAAAAGCTCTCCAAATATCCATTTGCAGATTCTAGAAAAAGAGTGTTTCCAAACTCCTCAATCAAAGGATAGTTTCAATTCTGTGAGATGAAAGCACACATCACAACGAAGTTTCTTAGAAAGCTTCTGTGTAGTTTTTATGTGAAGATACTTCACATTGCATCACAGTACTCAATGGGCTCAGAAATATCCCCTTGCAGATCCTACAAAAGGACTGTTTCAAAACTGCTCAATCCAAAGAAAGTTTCAACTATGTGAGATGAATGCGCACGTCACGAAGACGTTCCTCAGAATGCTTCTGTCTACTTTATATGTGAAGAAGATTCCTATTCCACCATAGGCAATAAAGGGCTCACAAATATGTTTTGCAGATTCTACAAAAAGACTGTACCCAAACTGCTCAATAAAAAGAAAGTTTTAACTCTGTTAGGTTAATGGACACATCAAAAAGTAGTTTCTCAGAAAACTTCTGTGTAGTTTTTATGTGAAGATACTTCCTTTGTCACCATTGGCCTCAAAGCACTCCTAATATCCATTTACAGATGTCACAGAAAGAGTGTTTCCAAACTGCTCCATCAAAAGAAAGTGTTTAACTCTGTGAGGTGAAAGCACACATCTCAAAGAAGTTTCTCCGAAAGCTTCGGTCTAGTTTTCATGTGATGATATTTCCAGTCTCACCATAGGCCTCAAAGGGCTAAGAAATATCCCTTTCCAGATTCTAAAAGACCACCATTTCCATACTTCTCAATCAAAAGAAAGGTTAAATTCTGTGAGGTTAATGCACACATCAGAATGAAGTTTCTCAGAATTCTCCTGTCTAGTTTTCATGTGAAGATATTTACTATTTCACTATAGGCTTCAAATGTCTCAAAAATATCCTTTTGCAGATTCTACAAAAATATGCTTTCCAAAGTGCTGAATTAAAAGAAACCTTCAACTCTGTCAGATGAATGGAGACATCACAAAGAAGTTCCTCAGAATGCTTCTGTCTAGTTTAAATGGGAAGATATTTCTTTTTCACCATAGACCTCAAAGGGCTCAGAATTAGACCTTTGCAGATTGCAGAGAAAGACTGTCTCTAAACTGCTCAAATAAAATAAAGTTTCAACACGGTGAGATGAATGCACACCTCACAAAGAAGTTCCTCAGAAAGCTTCTGTCTGGTTTTTATGTGAAGATATTTCCTTTTTCACCATAGGCCTTACACCGCTCACAAATATCCTTCTGCAGATACTAGAAAAAGACTGTTTCCAAACTGCTCCATCAAAAGAAAATTTCACCTATCTGAGATGAATGCACACATCATAAAGAAGTTCCTCAGAATTCTTCTGTCTAGTTTTTATGTGAAGATGTTTCCATTTTCACCTTAGGCCACAAAGCGCTCCAAACATCCGTTTGCAGATGATACGAAAAGACTGTTTCCAAACTGCTCAGTGAAAAGAAATTTTCAACTCTGTGAGATGAAAGCACACATCACGAAAAAGTTTCTCAGAAATCTTCTATCTCGCTTTTATCTCAAGATGATTCCTATTTTGCCATAGGAAATCAAGGGGCTCACATATATCCCTTTGCAGATTCTACAAATGTTCTCCTTACAAACTTCTCAATCAAGAGCAACGTTCAACATTGTGAGATGAATGAACACATCCCAAAGACGTTTCTCAGGTTGCTTCTGTCTGGTTGCTATGTGAAGATGTTTCCTTTTTCACCATAGTCTTTAAGCCACTCAAAAATATCTGTCTGCAGACTCTACCAAAAGACCGTTTCCAAACTGGCCCATATAGCATGTTTCAACTATGTGAAATGAATGCACTCATCAAAAAGAAGTTTCTCAGGATTCTCCTGTCTAGTTTTTATGTGAAGATATTTCCTTTTTCACCGTAGGCCACAAATTGCTCCAAATATCCATTTGCAGATTCTACAAAAAGAATGTTCCCAAACTGGTCAATCAAAAGAAAGGCGCAACTCTGTGAGACGAAAGCACACATCACAAAGAAGTTTCCCGGAAAGCTTCTGTCTACATTTTATGTGAACGTATTTCCTTTGGCACCATAGGCCTTAAACCGCTCACAAATATAACTCCAATTAAACGACCTAGAGACTTTCTCCAGATTGCTAAATCAAAAGAAAGGTTCAACTCTGTGAGATGAATACACACATCAAAAAGAAGTTTCTCAAAATGCTTCTGTCTAGTTTTCATGGGAAGATATTTATTTTTCACCGTTGGCCCCAAACCGCTCAGAAATATCCCTTTGCAGTTTGTAGGAAAAGACTGCTCCCAAACTGCTCAATGAAAGGAAATGGTCAACTATTAGAGATGAATGGAAATGTCACAAAGAGTTTTCTCGAAAATCTACTGTGTCGTTTTTATGTGAAGACATTGCCTTTTGCACCCTAGGCCTTAAAACTCTCTAAATGCACATTCACAGATTCTACAAAAAGACTGATTCCAAACTGCTCAATCAGAAGAAGGGTTCAATTCCGTGTGACAAACGTGCACATCACCAAGAAATTTGTCAGAAAGCTTCTGTCTACTTTTTATGTGAAGATATTTCATATTTCAACAAAGGCCATAAAGGGCTCACAAATATCCCTTCGCAGATTCTAAGAAAAGACGTTTTCCAAACTCCTCAATCAAAAGAAAGTTTTAACTCTGTGAGATGAATGGACACATCACGAAGAAGTTTCTCAGAAAGCTTCTGTCTAGTTTTTCTGTGACGATATTTCTTTTTCACCATAGGCCTCAAGCAGCTAAGAAATTTCTCTCTGCAGCTTCTACCAAAGACTGTTTCCAAACTGCTCACCTGAAAGAAAGGTTGAATTCTGTGACATGAATTCACACATCACAAAGAGGTTTTTCAGAAATCTTCTGTCTGGTTTTTAGGTGGCGATACTTCCTTTTTCAGCACGGGCCTCAAATATCTCCAAATATCCATTTGCAGATTCTACAGAAAGACTTTCCAAACTGCTCAATCAAAAGAAAGGTTCAACACTGTGAGATGAAGGCACACATCACCAAGAAATTTCTCAGAAACTTTCTGTCTAGTTTTTAGGTGAAGATACTTCGTATTTCACCACAGGCCATAAAGGGCTCACAAATATCCCTTTGCAGGTTCTACAAAAAGACTGTTTCCAAACTGCTCAATCAAAGGAGAGGTTCAACTCTGTGACGTGAATGGACACATCATAAAAAATTTCTTGGAATGCTTCCGTCTAGTTCTTATGGGAAGATATTTCTCTTTCACCATAAGCCTCAAACGGATCAGAATTCTCCCTTTGCAGATTGTACAATAAGCCTCTTTCCAATCTGCTCAATCAAAAGAAAGTTTCCACTCGGTGAGGTGAATGCACACATCGCAAGGGAGTTTCTCAGAAAGCTTCTGTTTAGTTTTTACGTGAAGGTATTTCGTTTTTCACCACGGGCCTCAAAAGCTCTCCAAATATCCATTTGCAGATTCTAGAAAAAGAGTGTTTCCAAACTCCTCAATCAAAGGATAGTTTCAATTCTGTGAGAGGAAAGCAGACATCACAACGAAGTTTCTTAGAAAGCCTCTGTGAAGTTTTTATGTGAAGATACTTCACATTGCATCACAGTACTCAAGGGGCTCAGAAATATCCCCTTGCAGATCCTACAAAAGGACTGTTTCAAAACTGCTCAATCCAAAGAAAGTTTCAACTATGTGAGACGAATGCACACGTCACGAAGAAGTGCCTCAGAATGCTTCTGTCTAGTTTATATGTGAAGAAGATTCCTATTCCACCATAGGCAATAAAGGGCTCACAAATATGTTTTGCAGATTCTACAAAAAGACTGTATCCAAACTGCTCAATAAAAATAAAGTTTTAACTCTGTTTGATTAATGGACACATCGAAAGGTAGTTTCTCAGAAAACTTCTGTGTAGTTTTTATGTGAAGATACTTCCTTTGTCACCATTGGCCTCAAAGCACTCCTAATATCCATTTACAGATGTCACAGAAAGAGTGTTTCCAAACTGCTCAATCAAAAGAAAGTGTTTAACTCTGTGAGGTGAAAGCACACATCTCAAAGAAGTTTCTCCGAAAGCTTCGGTCTAGTTTTCATGTGATGATATTTCCAGTCTCACCATAGGCCTCAAAGGGCTAAGAAATATCCATTTCCAGATTCTAAAAGACCACCATTTCCATACTTCTCAATCAAAGGAAAGGTTAAATTCTGTGAGGTTAATGCACACATCAGAATGAAGTTTCTCAGAATTCTCCTGTCTAGTTTTCATGGGAAGATATTTACTATTTCACTATAGGCTTCAAATGTCTCAAAAATATCCCTTTGCAGATTCTACAAAAATATGCTTTCCAAAGTGCTGAATTAAAAGAAACCTTCAACTCTGTCAGATGAATGGAGACATCACAAAGAAGTTCCTCAGAATGCTTCTGTCTAGTTGAAATGTGAAGACATTTCTTTTTCACCATAGACCTCAAAGGGCTCAGAATTAGACCTTTGCAGATTGCAGAGAAAGACTGTCTCTAAACTGCTCAAATAAAATAAAGTTTCAACACGGTGAGATGAATGCACACCTCACAAAGAAGTTCCTCAGAAAGCTTCTGTCTGGTTTTTATGTGAAGATATTTCCTTTTCCACCATAGGCCTTACACCGCTCACAAATATCCTTTTGCAGATACTAGAAAAAGACGGTTTCCAAACTGCTCCATCAAAAGAAAATTTCACCCATCTGAGATGAATGCACACATCATAAAGAAGTTCCTCAGAATTCTTCTGTCTAGTTTTTATGTGAAGAATGTTTCCATTTTCACCTTAGGCCACAAAGCGTTCCAAACATCCGTTTGCAGATGATACGAAAAGACTGTTTCCAAACTGCTCAATCAAAAGAAATTTTCAACTCTGTGAGATGAAAGCACACATCACAAAAAAGTTTCTCAGAAATCTTCTGTCTCGCTTTTATCTCAAGATAATTCCTATTTTGCCATAGGAATCAGGGGGCTCACATATATCCCTTTGCGGATTCTACAAAAGTTCTCTTTACAAACTTCTCAATCAAAAGAAACGTTCAACATTGGGAGATGAATGAACACATCCCAAAGAAGTTTCTCAGGTTGCTTCTGTCTGGTTGCTATGTGAAGATGTTTCCTTTTTCACCATAGTCTTTAAGCCACTCAAAAATATCTGTCTGCAGACTCTACCAAAAGACTGTTTCCAAACTGGCCCATATAGCATGTTTCAACTATGTGAAATGAATGCACTCATCAAAAAGAAGTTTCTCAGGATTCTCCTGTCTAGTTTTTATGTGAAGATATTTCCTTTTTCACCGTAGGCCACAAATTGCTCCAAATATCCATTTGCAGATTCTACAAAAAGAATGTTCCCAAACTGGTCAATCAAAAGAAAGGCGCAACTCTGTGAGACGAAAGCACACATCACAAAGGAGTTTCTCGGAAAGCTTCTGTCTACATTTTATGTGAACGTATTTCCTTTGGCACCATAGGCCTTAAACCGCTCGCAAATATAACTCCAATTAAACGACCTAGAGACTTTCTCCAGATTGCTAAATCAAAAGAAAGGTTCAACTCTGTGAGATGAATACACACATCAAAAAGAAGTTTCTCAAAATGCTTCTGTCTAGTTTTCATGGGAAGATATTTATTTTTCACCGTTGGCCCCAAACCGCTCAGAAATATCCCTTTGCAGTTTGTAGAAAAAGACTGCTTCCAAACTGCTCAATGAAAGGAAATGGCCAACTATTAGAGATGAATGGAAATGTCACAAAGAGTTTTCTCAAAAAGCTACTGTGTCGTTTTTATGTGAAGACATTGCCTTTGGCACCCTAGGCCTTAAAACTCTCTCAATACACATTCACAGATTCTACAAAAAGACTGATTCCAAACTGCTCAATCAGAAGAAGGGTTCAATTCCGTGTGGCAAACGTGCACATCACCAAGGAATTTGTCAGAAAGCTTCTGTCTACTTTTTATGTGAAGATATTTCATATTTCAACAAAGGCCATAAAGGGCTCACAAATATCCCTTCGCAGATTCTAAGAAAAGACGTTTGCCAAACTCCTCAATCAAAAGAAAGGTTTAACACTGTGAGATGAATGGACACATCACGAAGAAGTTTCTCAGAAAGCTTCTGTCTAGTTTTTCTGTGAAGATATTTCTTTTTCACCATAGGCCTCAAGCAGCTAAGAAATTTCCCTCTGCAGCTTCTACCAAAGACTGTTTCCAAACTGCTCAACTGAAAGAAAGGTTGAATTCTGTGACATGAATTCACACATCACAAAGAGGTTTTTCAGAAATCTCCTGTCTGGTTTTTAGGTGAAGATACTTCCTTTTTCACCACGGGCCTCAAATATCTCCAAATATCCATTTGCAGATTCTACAGAAAGACTTTCCAAACTGCTCAATCAAAAGAAAGGTTCAACACTGTGAGATGAAGGCACACATCACCAAGAAGTTTCTCAGAAATCTTCTGTCTAGTTTTTAGGTGAAGATACTTCGTATTTCACCACAGGCCATAAAGGGCTCACAAATATCCCTTTGCAGGTTCTACAAAAAGACTGTTTCCAAACTGATCAATCAAAGGAGAGGTTCAACTCTGTGACGTGAATGGACACATCACAAACAATTTCTTGGAATGCTTCCGTCTAGTTCTTATGGGAAGATATTTCTCTTTCACCATAAGCCTCAAACGGATCAGAATTCTCCCTTTGCAGATTGTACGATAAGCCTCTTTCCAATCTGCTCAATCAAAAGAAAGTTTCCACTCGGTGAGGTGAATGCACACATCGCAAGGGAGTTTCTCACAAAGCTTCTGTTTAGTTTTTACGTGAAGATATTTCGTTTTTCACCACGGGCCTCTAAAGCTCTCCAAATATCCATTTGCAGATTCTAGAAAAAGAGTGTTTCCAAACTCCTCAATCAAAGGATAGTTTCAATTCTGTGAGATGAAAGCACACATCACAACGAAGTTTCTTAGAAAGCTTCTGTGTAGTTTTTATGTGAAGATACTTCACATTGCATCACAGTACTCAATGGGCTCAGAAATATCCCCTTGCAGATCCTACAAAAGGACTGATTCAAAACTGCTCAATCCAAAGAAAGTTTCAACTATGTGAGATGAATGCACACGTCACGAAGACGTTCCTCAGAATGCTTCTGTCTTGTTTACATGTGAAGAAGATTCCTATTTCACCATAGGCAATAAAGGGCTCACAAATATTTTTTGTGAGATTCTCCAAAAATACTGTATCCAAACTGCTCAATAAAAAGAAAGTTTTAACTCTGTTACATTAATGGACACATCAACAAGTAGTTTCTCAGAAAACTTCTGTGTACTTTTTATGTGAAGATACTTCCTTTGTCACCATTGGCCTCAAAGCACTCCTAATATCCATTTACAGATGTCACAGAAAGAGTGTTTCCAAACTGCTCAATCAAAAGAAAGTGTTTAACTCTGTGAGGTGAAAGCACACATCTCAAAGAAGTTTCTCCGAAAGCTTCGGTCTACTTTTCATGTGAAGATATTTCCAGTTTCACCGTAGGCCTCAAAGGGCTAAGAAATATCCCTTTCCAGATTCTAAAAGACGACCGTTTCCATACTTCTCAATCAAAAGAAAGGTTAAATACTCTGAGGTTAATGTCCACGTCAGAATGAAGTTTCTCAGAATTCTCCTGTCTAGTTTTCATGTGAAGATATTTACTATTTCACTATAGGCTTCAAATATCTCAAAAATATCCCTTTGCAGATTCTACAAAAATATGCTTTCCAAAGTGCTGAATTAAAAGAAACCTTCAACTCTGTCAGGTGAATGGAGACATCACGAAGAAGTTCCTCAGAATGCTTCTGTCTAGTTTAAATGTGAAGACATTTCTTTTTCACCATAGACCTCAAAGGGCTCAGAGTTAGACCTTTGCAGATTGCAGAGAAAGACTGTCTCTAAACTGCTCAAATAAAATAAAGTTTCAACACGGTGAGATGAACGCACACATCACAAAGAAGTTCCTCAGAAGGCTTCTGTCTGGTTTTTATGTGAAGATATTTCCTTTTTCACCATAGGCCTTACACCGCTCACGAATATCCTTCTGCAGATACTATAAAAAGACGGTTTCCAAACTGCTCCATCAAAAGAAAATTTCACCTATCTGAGATGAATGCACACATCATAAAGAAGTTCCTCAGAATTCTTCTGTCTAGTTTTTATGTGAAGGTGTTTCCATTTTCACCTTAGGCCACAAAGCGCCCCAAACATCCATTTGCAGATGATACGAAAAGACTGTTTCCAAACTGCTCAATCAAAAGAAATTTTCAACTCTGTGAGATGAAAGCACACATCACAAAAAAGTTTCTCAGAAACCTTCTGTCTCGCTTTTATCTCAAGATAATTCCTATTTTGCCATAGGAATCAAGGGGCTCACATATATCCCTTTGCGGATTCTACAAAAGTTCTCTTTACAAACTTCTCAATCAAAAGAAACGTTCAACATTGGGAGATGAATGAACACATCCCAAAGAAGTTTCTCAGGGTTGCTTCTGTCTGGTTGCTATGTGAAGATGTTTCCTTTTTCACCATAGTCTTTTAGCCACTCAAAAATATCTGTCTGCAGACTCCACAAAAAGACTGTTTCCAAACTGGCCCATATAGCATGTTTCAACGATGTGAAATGAATGCACTCATCAAAAAGAAGGTTCTCAGGATTCTCCTGTCTAGTTTTTATGTGAAGATATTTCCTTTTTCACCGTAGGCCACAAATTGCTCCAAATATCCATTTGCAGATTCTACAAAAAGAATGTTCCCAAACTGGTCAATCAAAAGAAAGGCGCAACTCTGTGAGATGAAAGCACACATCACAAAGAAGTTTCCCGGAAAGCTTCTGTCTACATTTTATGTGAAGGTATTTCCTTTGGCACCATAGGCCTTAAACCGCTCGCAAATATAACTCCACTTATACTACCTAGAGACTTTCTCCAGATTGCTAAATCAAAAGAAAGGTTCAACTCTGTGAGATGAATACACACATCAAAAAGAAGTTCCTCAAAATGCTTCTGTCTAGTTTTCATGGGAAGATATTTATTTTTCACCGTTGGCCCCAAACCGCTCAGAAATATCCCTTTGCAGTTTGTAGAAAAAGACTGCTTCCAAACTGCTCAATGAAAGGAAATGGTCAACTATTAGAGATGAATGGAAATGTCACAAACAGTTTTCTCAAAAAGCTACTGTGTCGTTTTCATGTGAAGACATTGCCTTTGGCACCCTAGGCCTTAAAACTCTCTAAATGCACATTCACAGATTCTACAAAAAGACTGATTCCAAACTGCTCAATCAGAAGAAGGGTTCAATTCCGTGTGACAAACGTGCACATCACCAAGAAATTTGTCAGAAAGCTTCTGTCTACTTTTTATGTGAAGATATTTCATATTTCAACAAAGGCCAAAAAGGGCTCACAAATATCCCTTCGCAGATTCTAAGAAAAGACGTTTTGCAAACTCCTCAATCAAAAGAAAGGTTTAACTCTGTGAGATGAATGGACACATCACGAAGAAGTTTCTCAGAAAGCTTCTGTCTAGTTTTTCTTTGAAGATATTTCTTTTTCACCATAGGCCTCAAGCAGCTAAGAAATTTCCCTCTGCAGCTTCTACCAAAGACTGTTTCCAAACTGCTCACCTGAAAGAAAGGTTGAATTCTGTGACATGAATTCACACATCACAAAGAGGTTTTTCAGAAATCTTCTGTCTGGTTTTTAGGTGACGATACTTCCTTTTTCAGCACGGGCCTCAAATATCTCCAAATATCCATTTGCAGATTCTACAGAGAGACTTTCCAAACTGCTCAATCAAAAGAAAGGTTCAACACTGTGAGATGAAGGCACACATCACCAAGAAGTTTCTCAGAAACCTTCTGTCTAGTTTTTAGGTGAAGATACTTCGTATTTCACCACAGGCCATAAAGGGCTCACAAATATCCCTCTGCAGGTTCTACAAAAAGACTGTTTCCAAACTGATCAATCAAAGGAGAGGTTCAACTCTGTGACGTGAATGGACACATCACAAACAATTTCTTGGAATGCTTCCGTCTAGTTCTTATGGGAAGATATTTCTCTTTCACCATAAGCCTCAAACGGATCAGAATTCTCCCTTTGCAGATTGTACAATAAGCCTCTTTCCAATCTGCTCAATCAAGAGAAAGTTTCCACTCGGTTAGGTGAATGCACACATCACAAGGGAGTTTCTCAGAAAGCTTCTGTTTAGTTTTTACGTGAAGATATTTCGCTTTTCACCACGGGCCTCAAAAGCTCTCCAAATATCCATTTGCAGATTCTAGAAAAAGAGTGTTTCCAAACTCCTCAATCAAAGGATAGTTTCAATTCTGTGAGATGAAAGCACACATCACAACGAAGTTTCTTAGAAAGCGTCTGTCTAGTTTTTATGTGAAGATACTTCACATTGCATCACAGTACTCAATGGGCTCAGAAATATCCCCTTGCAGATCCTACAAAAGGACTGTTTCAAAACTGCTCAATCCAAAGAAAGTTTCAACTATGTGAGATGAATGCACACGTCACGAAGAAGTTCCTCAGAATGCTTCTGTCTTGTTTACATGTGAAGAAGATTCCTATTTCACCATAGGCAATAAAGGGCTCACAAATATTTTTTGCAGATTCTACAAAAAGACTGTATCCAAACTGCTCAATAAAAAGAAAGTTTTAACTCTGTTACATCAATGGACACATCAACAAGTAGTTTCTCAGAAAACTTCTGTGTAGTTTTTATGTGAAGATACTTCCTTTGTCACCATTGGCCTCAAAGCACTCCTAATATCCATTTACAGATGTCACAGAAAGAGTGTTTCCAAACTGCTCAATCAAAAGATAGTGTTTTACTCTGTGAGGTGAAAGCACACATCTCAAAGAAGTTTCTCCGAAAGCTTCGGACTAGTTTTCATGTGATGGTATTTCCAGTCTCACCATAGGCCTCAAAGGGCTAAGAAATATCCCTTTCCAGGTTCTAAAAGACCACCATTTCCATACTTCTCAATCAAAAGAAAGGTTAAATTCTGTGAGGTTAATGCACACATCAGAAGGAAGTTTCTCAGAATTCTCCTGTCTAGTTTCCATGTGAAGATATTTACTATTTCACTATAGGCTTCAAATGTCTCAAAAATATCCCTTTGCAGATTCTACAAAAATATGCTTTCCAAAGTGCTGAATTAAAAGAACCCTTCAACTCTGTCAGATGAATGGAGAGGCATCACAACGAAGATCCTCAGAATGCTTCTGTCTAGTTGAAATGTGAAGACATTTCTTTTTCACCATAGACCTCAAAGGGCTCAGAATTAGACCTTTGCAGATTGCAGAGAAAGACTGTCTCTAAACTGCTCAAATAAAATAAAGTTTCAACACGGTGAGATGAATGCACACATCACAAAGAAGTTCCTCAGAAAGCTTCTGTCTGGTTTTTATGTGAAGATATTTCCTTTTTCACCATAGGCCTTACACCGCTCACAAATATCCTTCTGCAGATACTATAAAAAGACGGTTTCCAAACTGCTCCATCAAAAGAAAATTTCACCTATCTGAGATGAATGCACACATCATAAAGAAGTTCCTCAGAATTCTTCTGTCTAGTTTTTATGTGAAGATGTTTCCATTTTCACCTTAGGCCACAAAGCGCCCCAAACATCCGTTTGCAGATGATACGAAAAGACTGTTTCCAAACTGCTCAATCAAGAGAAATTTTCAACTCTGTGAGATGAAAGCACACATCACAAAAAAGTTTCTCAGAAATCTTCTGTCTCGCTTTTATCTCAAGATAATTCCTATTTTGCCATAGGAAACAAGGGGCTCACATATACCCCTTTGCAGATTCTACAAATGTTCTCCTTACAAACTTCTCAATCAAAAGAAACGTTCAACATTGTGAGATGAATGAACACATCCCAAAGACGTTTCTCAGGTTGCTTCTGTCTGGTTGCTATGTGAAGATGTTTCCTTTTTCACCATAGTCTTTAAGCCACTCAAAAATATCTGTCTGCAGACTCTACAAAAAGACTGTTTCCAAACTGGCCCATATGGCATGTTTCAACTATGTGAAATGAATGCACTCATCAAAAAGAAGTTTCTCAGGAGTCTCCCTGTCTAGTTTTCATGTGAAGATATTTCCTTTTTCACCGAAGGCCACAAATTGCTCCAAATATCCATTTGCAGATTGTACGAAAAGAATGTTCCCAAACTGGTCAATGAAAAGAAAGGCGCAACTCTGTGAGACGAAAGCACACATCACAAAGAAGTTTCTCGGAAAGCTTCTGTCTGCATTTTATGTGAAGGTATTTCCTTTGGCACCATAGGCCTTAAACCGCTCGCAAATATGACTCCACTTATACTACCAAGAGACTTTCTCCAAATTGCTAAATCAAAAGAAAGGTTCAACTCTGTGAGATGAATACACACATCAAAAAGAAGTTTCTCAAAATGCTTCTGTCTAGTTTTCATGGGAAGATGTTTATTTTTCACCGTTGGCCCCAAACCGCTCAGAAATATCCCTTTGCAGTTTGTAGAAAAAGACTGCTTCCAAACTGCTCAATGAAAGGAAATGGCCAACTATTAGAGATGAATGGAAATGTCACAAAGAGTTTTCTCAAAAAGCTACTGTGTCGTTTTTATGTGAAGACATTGCCTTTGGCACCCTAGGCCTTAAAACTCTCTAAATACACATTCACAGATTCTACAAAAAGACTGATTCCAAACTGCTCAATCAGAAGAAGGGTTCAATTCCGTGTGACAAACGTGCACATCACCAAGGAATTTGTCAGAAAGCTTCTGTCTACTTTTTATGTGAAGATATTTCATATTTCAACAAAGGCCATAAAGGGCTCACAAATATCCTTTCGCAGATTCTAAGAAAAGACGTTTTCCAAACTCCTCAATCAAAAGAAAGGTTTAACTCTGTGTGATGAATGGACACATCATGAAGAAGTTTCTCAGAAAGCTTCTGTCTAGTTTTTCTGTGAAGATATTTCTTTTTCACCATAGGCCTCAAGCAGCTAAGAAATTTCCCTCTGCAGCTTCTACCAAAGACTGTTTCCAAACTGCTCAACTGAAAGAAAGGTTGAATTCTGTGACATGAATTCACACATCACAAAGAGGTTTTCCAGAAATCTTCTGTCTGGTTTTTAGGTGACGATACTTCCTTTTTCAGCACGGGCCTCAAATATCTCCAAATATCCATTTGCAGATTCTACAGAAAGACTTTCCAAACTGCTCAATCAAAAGAAAGGTTCAACACTGTGAGATGAAGGCACACATCACCAAGAAGTTTCTCAGAAACCTTCTGTCTAGTTTTTAGGTGAAGATACTTCGTATTTCACCACAGGCCATAAAGGGCTCACAAATATCCCTTTGCAGGTTCTACAAAAAGACTGTTTCCAAACTGCCCAATCAAAGGAGAGGTTCAACTCTGTGACGTGAATGGACACATCACAAAAAATTTCTTAGAATGCTTCCGTCTAGTTCTTATGGGAAGATATTTCTCTTTCACCATAAGCCTCAAACGGATCAGAATTCTCCCTCTGCAGATTGTACGATAAGCCTCTTTCCAATCTGCTCAATCAAAAGAAAGTTTCCACTCGGTGAGGTGAATGCACACATCGCAAGGGAGTTTCTCAGAAAGCTTCTGTTTAGTTTTTACGTGAAGATATTTCGTTTTTCACCACGGGCCTCAAAAGCTCTCCAAATATCCATTTGCAGATTCTAGAAAAAGAGTGTTTCCAATCGCCTCAATCAAAGGATAGCTTCAATTCTGTGCGATGAAAGCACACATCACAACGAAGTTTCTTAGAAAGCATCTGTCTAGTTTTTATGTGAAGATACTTCACATTGCATCACAGTACTCAATGGGCTCAGAAATATCCCCTTGCAGATCCTACAAAAGGACTGTTTCAAAACTGCTCAATCCAAAGAAAGCTTCAACTATGTGACACGAATGCACACGTCATGAAGACCTTCCTCAGAATGCTTCTGTCTTGTTTACATGTGAAGAAGATTCCTATTTCACCATAGGCAATAAAGGGCTCACAAATATTTTTGCAGATTCTACAAAAAGACTGTATCCAAACTGCTCAATAAAAAGAAAGTTTTAACTCTGTTACATCAATGGACACATCAACAAGTAGTTTCTCAGAAAACTTCTGTGTAGTTTTTATGTGAAGATACTTCCTTTGTCACCATTGGCCTCAAAGCACTCCTAATATCCATTTACAGATGTCACAGAAAGAGTGTTTCCAAACTGCTCAATCAAAAGAAAGTGTTTAACTCTGTGAGGTGAAAGCACACATCTCAAAGAAGTTTGTCCGAAAGCTTCGGTCTACTTTTCATGTGAAGATATTTCCAGTTTCACCGTAGGCCTCAAAGGGCTAAGAAATATCCCTTTCCAGATTCTAAAAGACGACCGTTTCCATACTTCTCAATCAAAAGAAAGGTTAAATTCTCTGAGGTTAATGCCCACGTCAGAATGAAGTTTCTCAGAATTCTCCTGTCTAGTTTTCATGGGAAGATATTTACTATTTCACTATAGGCTTCAAAAGTCTAAAAAATATCCCTTTGCAGATTCTACAAAAATATGCTTTCCAAAGTGCTGAATTAGAAGAAACCTTCAACTCTGTCAGATGAATGGAGGCATCACAACGAAGTTCCTCAGAATGCTTCTGTCTAGTTTAAATGTGAAGATATTTCTTTTTCACCATAGACCTCAAAGGGCTCAGAATTAGACCTTTGCAGATTGCAGAGAAAGACTGTCTCTAAACTGCTCAAATAAAATAAAGTTTCAACACGGTGAGATGAATGCACACATCACAAAGAAGTTCCTCAGAAAGCTTCTGTCTGGTTTTAATGTGAAGATATTTCCTTTTTCACCATAGGCCTTACACCGCTCACGAATATCCTTCTGCAGATACTATAAAAAGACTGTTTCCAAACTGCTCCATCAAAAGAAAATTTCACCTATCTGAGATGAATGCACACATCATACAGAAGTTCCTCAGAATTCTTCTGTCTAGTTTTTATGTGAAGATGTTTCCATTTTCACCTTAGGCCACAAAGCGCTCCAAACATCCGTTTGCAGATGATACGAAAAGACTGTTTCCAAACTGCTCAATCAAAAGAAATTTTCAACTCTGTGAGATGAAAGCACACATCACGAAAAGTTTCTCAGAAATCTTCTGTCTCGCTTTTATCTCAAGATGATTCCTATTTTGCCATAGGAATCAAGGGGCTCACATATACCCCTTTGCAGATTCTACAAATGTTCTCCTTACAAACTTCTCAATCAAGAGAAACGTTCAACATTGTGAGATGAATGAACACATCCCAAAGACGTTTCTCAAGTTGCTTCTGTCAGGTTGCTATGTGAAGATGTTTCCTTTTTCACCATAGTCTTTAAGCCACTCAAAAATATCTGTCTGCAGACTCTACCAAAAGACTGTTTCCAAACTGGCCCACATAGCATGTTTCAACTATGTGAAATGAATGCACTCATCAAAAAGAAGTTTCTCAGGATTCTCCGGTCTAGTTTTTATGTGAAGATATTTCCTTTTTCACCGTAGGCCACAAATTGCTCCAAATATCCATTTGCAGATTCTACAAAAAGAATGTTCCCAAACTGGTCAATCAAAAGAAAGGCGCAACCCTGTGAGACGAAAGCACACATCACAAAGGAGTTTCTCGGAAAGCTTCTGTCTACATTTTATGTAAAGGTATTTCCTTTGGCACCATAGGCCTTAAACCGCTCACAAATATGACTCCACTTATACTACCAAGAGACTTTCTCCAAATTGCTAAATCAAAAGAAAGGTTCAACTCTGTGAGATGAATACACACATCAAAAAGAAGTTTCTCAAAATGCTTCTGTCTAGTTTTCATGGGAAGATATTTATTTTTCACCGTTGTCCCCAAACCGCTCCGAAATATCCCTTTGCAGTTTGTAGAAAAAGACTGCTTCCAAACTGCTCAATGAAAGGAAATGGTCAACTATTAGAGATGAATGGAAATGTCACAAAGAGTTTTCTCAAAAAGCTACTGTGTCGTTTTTATGTGAAGACATTGCCTTTGGCACCCTAGGCCTTAAAACTCTCTATATACACATTCACAGATTCTACAAAGAGACTGATTCCAAACTGCTCAATCAGAAGAAGGGTTCAATTCCGTGTGACAAACGTGCACATCACCAAGGAATTTGTCAGAAAGCTTCTGTCTACTTTTTATGTGAAGATATTTCATATTTCAACAAAGGCCATAAAGGGCTCACAAATATCCCTTCGCAGATTCTAAGAAAAGACATTTTCCAAACTCCTCAATCAAAAGAAAGGTTTAACTCTGTGAGATGAATGGACACATCACGAAGAAGTTTCTCAGAAAGCTTCTGTCTAGTTTTTCTGTGAAGATATTTCTTTTTCACCATAGGCCTCAAGCAGCTAAGAAATTTCCCTCTGCAGCTTCTACCAAAGACTGTTTCCAAACTGCTCACCTGAAAGAAAGGTTGAATTCTGTGACATGAATTCACACATCACAAAGAGGTTTTTCAGAAATCTTCTGTCTGGTTTTTAGGTGAAGATACTTCCTTTTTCACCACGGGCCTCAAATATTTCCAAATATCCATTTGCAGATTCTACAGAAAGACTTTGCAAACTGCTCAATCAAAAGAAAGGTTCAACACTGTGAGATGAAGGCACACATCACCAAGAAGGTTCTCAGAAACCTTCTGTCTAGTTTTTAGGTGAAGATACTTCGTATTTCACCACAGGCCATAAAGGGCTCACAAATATCCCTTTGCAGGTTCTACAAAAAGACTGTTTCCAAACTGCTCAATCAAAGGAGAGGTTCAACTCTGTGACGTGAATGGACACATCACAAAAAATTTCTTGGAATGCTTCCGTCTAGTTTTTATGGGAAGATATTTCTCTTTCACCATAAGCCTCAAACGGATCAGAATTCTCCCTTTGCAGGTTGTACGATAAGCCTCTTTCCAATCTGCTCAATCAAAAGAAAGTTTCCACTCGGTGAGGTGAATGCACACATCGCAAGGGAGTTTCTCAGAAAGCTTCTGTTTAGTTTTTACGTGAAGATATTTCGTTTTTCACCACGGGCCTCAAAAGCTCTCCAAATATCCATTTGCAGATTCTAGAAAAAGAGTGTTTCCAAACTCCTCAATCAAACGATAGTTTCAATTCTGTGAGATGAAAGCACACATCACAACGAAGTTTCTTAGAAAGCGTCTGTGTAGTTTTTATGTGAAGATACTTCACATTGCATCACAGTACTCAATGGGCTCAGAAATATCCCCTTGCAGATCCTACAAAAGGACTGTTTCAAAACTGCTCAATCCAAAGAAAGTTTCAACTATGTGAGATGAATGCACACGTCACGAAGACGTTCCTCAGAATGCTTCTGTCTAGTTTATATGTGAAGAAGATTCCTATTTCACCATAGGCAATAAAGGGCTCACAAATATGTTTTGCAGATTCTACAAAAGGACTGTATCCAAACTGCTCAATAAAAAGAAAGTTTTAACTCTTTTAGGTTAATGGACACATCAAAAAGTAGTTTCTCAGAAAACTTCTGTGTAGTTTTTATGTGAAGATATTTCCTTTGTCACCATTGGCCTCAAAGCACTCCTAATATCCATTTACAGATGTCACAGAAAGAGTGTTTCCAAACTGCTCAATCAAAAGAAAGTGATTAACTCTGTGAGGTGAAAGCACACATCTCAAAGAAGTTTCTCCGAAAGCTTCGGACTAGTTTTCATGTGATGATATTTCCAGTCTCACCATAGGCCTCAAAGGGCTAAGAAATATCCCTTTCCAGGTTCTAAAAGACCACCATTTCCATACTTCTCAATCAAAAGAAAGGTTAAATTCTGTGAGGTTAATGCACACATCAGAATGAAGTTTCTCAGAATTCTCCTGTCTAGTTTTCATGGGAAGATATTTACTATTTCACTCTAGGCTTCAAATGTCTCAAAAATATCCCTTTGCAGATTCTACAAAAATATGCTTTCCAAAGTGCTGAATTAAAAGAAACCTTCAACTCTGTCCGATGAATGGAGAGGCATCACAACGAAGTTCCTCAGAATGCTTCTGTCTAGTTTAAATGGGAAGATATTTCTTTTTCACCATAGACCTCAAAGGGCTCAGAATTAGACCTTTGCAGATTGCAGAGAAAGACTGTCTCTAAACTGCTCAAATAAAATAAAGTTTCAACACGGTGAGATGAATGCACACCTCACAAAAAGTTCCTCAGAAAGCTTCTGTCTGTTTTTTATGTGAAGATATTTCCTTTTTCACCATAGGCCTTACACCGCTCACAAATATCCTTCTGCAGATACTAGAAAAAGACTGTTTCCAAACTGCTCCATCAAAAGAAAATTTCACCCATCTGAGATGAATGCACACATCATAAAGAGGTTCCTCAGAATTCTTCTGTCTAGTTTTTATGTGAAGGTGTTTCCATTTTCACCTTAGGCCACAAAGCGCCCCAAACATCCATTTGCAGATGATACGAAAAGACTGTTTCCAAACTGCTCAATCAAAAGAATTTTTCAACTCTGTGAGATGAAAGTACACATCACAAAAAAGTTTCTCAGAAATCTTCTGTCTGGCTTTTATCTCAAGATAATTCCTATTTTGCCATAGGAATCAAGGGGCTCACATATATCCCTTTGCAGATTCTACAAAAGTTATCCTTACAAACTTCTCAATCAAAAGAAACGTTCATCATTGTGAAGTGAATGAACACATCCCAAAGACGTTTCTCAGGTTGCTTCTGTCTGGTTGCTATGTGAAGATGTTTCCTTTTTCACCATAGTCCTTAAGCCCCTCAAAAATATCTGTCTGCAGACTCTACCAAAAGACTGTTTCCAAACTGGCCCATATAGCATGTTTCAACTATGTGAAATGAATGCACTCATCAAAAAGAAGTTTCTCAGGATTCTTCTGTCTAGTTTTTATGTGAAGATATTTCCTTCTTCACCGCAGGCCGCAAATTGCTCCAAATATCCATTTGCGGATTCTACAGAAAGAATGTTTCCAAACTGGTCAATCAACAGAAAGGCTCAACTCTGTGAGACGAAAGCACACATCACAAAGAAGTTTCTCAGAAAGCTTCTGTCTGCATTTTATGTGAAGGTATTTCCTTTGGCACCATAGGCCTTAAACCGCTCGCAAATATAACTCCACTTATACTACCAAGAGACTTTCTCCAAATTGCTAAATCAAAAGAAAGGTTCAACTCTGTAAGATGAATACACACATCAAAAAGAAGTTTCTCAAAATGCTTCTGTCTAGTTTTCATGGGAAGATATTTATTTTTCACCGTTGGCCCCAAACCGCTCAGAAATATCCCTTTGCAGTTTGTAGAAAAAGACTGCTTCCAAACTGCTCAATGTAAGGAAATGGCCAACTATTAGAGATGAATGGAAATGTCACAAAGAGTTTTCTCAAAAAGCCACTGTGTCGTTTTTATGTGAAGACATTGCCTTTTGCACACTAGGCCTTAAAACTCTCTAAATGCACATTCACAGATTCTACAAAAAGACTGATTCCAAACTGCTCAATCAGAAGAAGGGTTCAATTCCGTGTGACAAACGTGCACATCACCAAGAAATTTGTCAGAAAGCTTCTGTCTACTTTTTATGTGAAGATATTTCATATTTCAACAAAGGCCATAAAGGGCTCACAAATATCCCTTCGCAGATTCTAAGAAAAGACGTTTTCCAAACTCCTCACTCAAAAGAAAGGTTTAACACTGTGAGATGAATGGACACATCACGAAGAAGTTTCTCAGAAAGCTTCTGTCTAGTTTTTCTGTGAAGATACTTCTTTTTCACCATAGGCCTCAAGCAGCTAAGAAATTTCCCTCTGCAGCTTCTACCAAAGACTGTTTCCAAACTGCTCAACTGAAAGAAAGGTTGAATTCTGTGACATGAATTCACACATCACAAAGAGGTTTTTCAGAAATCTTCTGTCTGGTTTTTAGGTGACGATACTTCCTTTTTCACCACGGGCCTCAAATATCTCCAAATATCCATTTGCAGATTCTACAGAAAGACTTTCCAAACTGCTCAATCAAAAGAAAGGTTCAACACTGTGAGATGAAGGCACACATCACCAAGAAGTTTCTCAGAAACCTTCTGTCTAGTTTTTAGGTGAAGATACTTCGTATTTCACCACAGGCCATAAAGGGCTCACAAATATCCCTTTGCAGGTTCTACAAAAAGACTGTTTCCAAACTGCTCAATCAAAGGAGAGGTTCAACTCTGTGACGTGAATGGACACATCACAAACAATTTCTTGGAATGCTTCCGTCTAGTTTTTATGGGAAGATATTTCTCTTTCACCATAAGCCTCAAACGGATCAGAATTCTCCCTTTGCAGATTGTACGATAAGCCTCTTTCCAATCTGCTCAATCAAAAGAAAGTTTCCTCTCGGTGAGGTGAATGCACACAACGCAAGGGAGTTTCTCAGAAAGCTTCTGTTTAGTTTTTACGTGAAGATATTTCGTTTTTCACCACGGGCCTCTAAAGCTCTCCAAATATCCATTTGCAGATCCTAGAAAAAGAGTGTTTCCAAACTCCTCAATCAAAGGATAGTTTCAATTCTGTGAGATGAAAGCACACATCACAACGAAGTTTCTTAGAAAGCTTCTGTCCAGTTTTTATGTGAAGATACTTCACATTGCATCACAGTACTCAATGGGCTCAGAAATATCCCCTTGCAGATCCTACAAAAGGACTGTTTCAAAACTGCTCAATCCAAAGAAAGTTTCAACTATGTGAGACGAATGCACACGTCACGAAGAAGTTCCTCAGAATGCTTCTGTCTAGTTTATATGTGAAGAAGATTCCTATTCCACCATAGGCAATAAAGGGCTCACAAATATGTTTTGCAGATTCTACAAAAAGACTGTATCCAAACTGCTCAATAAAAAGAAAGTTTTAACTCTGTTAGGTTAATGGACACATCAAAAAGTAGTTTCTCAGAAAACTTCTGTGTAGTTTTTCTGTGAAGATACTTCCTTTGTCACCATTGGCCTCAAAGCACTCCTAATATCCATTTACAGATGTCACAGAAAGAGTGTTTCCAAACTGCTCCATCAAAAGAAAGTGTTTAACTCTGTGAGGTGAAAGCACACATCTCAAAGGAGTTTCTCCGAAAGCTTCGGTCTAGTTTTCATGTGATGATATTTCCAGTCTCACCATAGGCCTCAAAGGGGTAAGAAATATCCCTTTCCAGATTCTAAAAGACCACCATTTCCATACTTCTCAATCAAAAGAAAGGTTACATTCTGTGAGGTTAATGCACACATCAGAATGAAGTTTCTCAGAATTCTCCTGTCTAGTTTTCATGTGAAGATATTTACTATTTCACTATAGGCTTCAAATGTCTCAAAAATATCCCTTTGCAGATTCTACAAAAATATGCTTTCCAAAGTGCTGAATTAAAAGAAACCTTCAACTCTGTCAGATGAATGGAGGCATCACAACGAAGTTCCTCAGAATGCTTCTGTCTAGTTTAAATGTGAAGACATTTCTTTTTCACCATAGACCTCAAAGGGCTCAGAATTAGACCTTTGCAGATTGCAGAGAAAGACTGTCTCTAAACTGCTCAAATAAAATAAAGTTTCAACACGGTGAGATAAATGCACACCTCACAAAGAAGTTCCTCAGAAAGCTTCTGTCTGGTTTTTATGTGAAGATATTTCCTTTTTCACCATAGGCCTTACACCGCTCACAAATATCCTTCTGCAGATACTAGAAAAAGACTGTTTCCAAACTGCTCCATCAAAAGAAAATTTCACCCATCTGAGATGAATGCACACATCATAAAGAAGTTCCTCAGAATTCTTCTGTCTAGTTTTTATGTGAAGATGTTTCCATTTTCACCTTAGGCCACAAAGCGCCCCAAACATCCGTTTGCAGATGATACGAAGAGACTGTTTCCAAACTGCTCAATCAAGAGAAATTTTCAACTCTGTGAGATGAAAGCACACATCACAAAAAAGTTTCTCAGAAATCTTCTGTCTCGCTTTTATCTCAAGATGATTCCTATTTTGCCATAGGAATCAAGGGGCTCACATATACCCCTTTGCAGATTCTACAAATGTTCTCCTTACAAACTTCTCAATCAAGAGAAACGTTCAACATTGTGAGATGAATGAACACATCCCAAAGACGTTTCTCAGGTTGCTTCTGTCTGGTTGCTATGTGAAGATGTTTCCTTTTTCACCATGGTCTTTAAGCCACTCAAAAATACCTGTCTGCGGACTCTACAGTAAGACTGATTCCAAACTGGCCCATATAGCATGTTTCAACTATGTGAAATGAATGCACTCATCAAAAAGAAGTTTCTCAGGATTCTCCTGTCTAGTTTTTATGTGAAGATATTTCCTTTTTCACCGTAGGCCACAAATTGCTCCAAATATCCATTTGCAGATTCTACAAAAAGAATGTTCCCAAACTGGTCAATCAAAAGAAAGGCGCAACTCTGTGAGACGAAAGCACACATCACAAAGAAAGTTTCTCGGAAAGCCTCTGTCTACATTTTATGTGAAGGTATTTCCTTTGGCACCATAGGCCTTAAACCGCTCGCAAATATAACTCCACTTATACTACCTAGAGACTTTCTCCAGATTGCTAAATCAAAAGAAAGGTTCAACTCTGTGAGATGAATACACACATCAAAAAGAAGTTTCTCAAAATGCTTCTGTCTAGTTTTCATGGGAAGATATTTATTTTTCACCGTTGGCCCCAAACCGCTCAGAAATATCCCTTTGCAGTTTGTAGAAAAAGACTGCTTCCAAACTGCTCAATGAAAGGAAATGGTCAACTATCAGAGATGAATGGAAATGTCGCAGAGAGTTTTCTCAAAAAGCTACTGTGTCGTTTTTATGTGAAGACATTGCCTTTGGCACCCTAGGCCTTAAAACTCTCTAAATACACATTCACAGATTCTACAAAAAGACTGATTCCAAACTGCTCAATCAGAAGAAGGGTTCAATTCCGTGTGGCAAACGTGCACATCACCAAGGAATTTGTCAGAAAGCTTCTGTCTACTTTTTATGTGAAGATATTTCATATTTCAACAAAGGCCATAAAGGACTCACAAATATCCCTTCGCAGATTCTAAGAAAAGACGTTTTCCAAACTCCTCAACCAAAAGAAAGGTTTAACTCTGTGAGATGAATGGACACATCACGAAGAAGTTTCTCAGAAAGCTTCTGTCTAGTTTTTCTGTGAAGATATTTCTTTTCCACAATAGGCCTCAAGCAGCTAAAAAATTTCCCTCTGCAGCTTCTACCAAAGACTGTTTCCAAACTGCTCACCTGAAAGAAAGGTTGAATTCTGTGACATGAATTCACACATCACAAAGAGGTTTTTCAGAAATCTTCTGTCTGTTTTTTAGGTGAAGATACTTCCTTTTTCACCACGGGCCTCAAATATCTCCAAATATCCATTTGCAGATTCTACAGAAAGACGTTGCAAACTGCTCAATCAAAAGAAAGGTTTAACACTGTGAGATGAAGGCACCCATCACCAAGAAGTTTCTCAGAAACCTTCTGTCTAGTTTTTAGGTGAAGATACTTCGTATTTCACCACAGGCCATAAAGGGCTCACAAATATCCCTTTGCAGGTTCTACAAAAAGACTGTTTCCAAACTGCTCAATCAAAGGAGAGGTTCAACTCTGTGACGTGAATGGACACATCATAAAAAATTACTTGGAATGCTTCCGTCTAGTTTTTATGGGAAGATATTTCTCTTTCACCATAAGCCTCAAACGGATCAGAATTCTCCCTTTGCAGATTGTACGATAAGCCTCTTTCCAATCTGCTCAATCAAAAGAAAGTTTCCACTGGGTGAGGTGAATGCACACATCGCAAGGGAGTTTCTCAGAAAGCTTCTGTTTAGTTTTTACGTGAAGATATTTCGTTTTTCACCACTGGCCTCAAAAGCTCTCCAAATATCCATTTGCAGATTCTAGAAAAAGAGTGTTTCCAAACTCCTCAATCAAAGCATAGTTTCAATTCTGTGAGATGAAAGCACACATCACAACGAAGTTTCTTAGAAAGCGTCTGTCTAGTTTTTATGTGAAGATACTTCACATTGCATCACAGTACTCAATGGGCTCAGAAATATCCCCTTGCAGATCCTAGAAAAGGACTGTTTCAAAACTGCTCAATCCAAAGAAAGCTTCAACTATGTGACACGAATGCACACGTCACGAAGACCTTCCTCAGAATGCTTCTGTCTAGTTTATATGTGAAGAAGATTCCTATTTCACCATAGGCAATAAAGGGCTCACAAATATGTTTTGCAGATTCTACAAAAGGACTGTATCCAAACTGCTCAATAAAAAGAAAGTTTTAACTCTGTTAGGTTAATGGACACATCAAAAAGTAGTTTCTCAGAAAACTTCTGTGTAGTTTTTATGTGAAGATACTTCCTTTGTCACCATTGGCCTCAAAGCACTCCTAATATCCATTTACAGATGTCACAGAAAGAGTGTTTCCAAACTGCTCAATTAAAAGAAAGTGTTTAACTCTGTGAGGTGAAAGCACACATCTCAAAGAAGTTTCTCCGAAAGCTTCGGTCTAGTTTTCATGTGATGATATTTCCAGTCTCACCATAGGCCTCAAAGGGCTAAGAAATATCTCTTTCCAGATTCTAAAAGACCACCATTTCCATACTTCTCAATCAAAAGAAAGGTTACATTCTGTGAGGTTAATGCACATATCAGAATGAAGTTTCTCAGAATTCTCCTGTCTAGTTTTCATGTGAAGATATTTACTATTTCACTATAGGCTTCAAATGTCTCAAAAATATCCCTTTGCAGATTCTACAAAAATATGCTTTCCAAAGTGCTGAATTAAAAGAAACCTTCAACTCTCTCAGATGAATGGAGACATCACAAAGAAGTTCCTCAGAATGCTTCTGTCTAGTTTAAATGTGAAGACATTTCTTTTTCACCATAGACCTCAAAGGGCTCAGAGTTAGACCTTTGCAGATTGCAGAGAAAGACTGTCTCTAAACTGCTCAAATAACATAAAGTTTCAACACGGTGAGATGAATGCACACATCACAAAGAAGTTCCTCAGAAAGCTTCTGTCTGGTTTTAATGTGAAGATATTTCCTTTTTCACCATAGGCCTTACACCGCTCACGAATATCCTTCTGCAGATACTATAAAAAGACTGTTTCCAAACTGCTCCATCAAAAGAAAATTTCACCTATACTGAGATGAATGCACACATCATACAGAAGTTCCTCAGAATTCTTCTGTCTAGTTTTTATGTGAAGATATTTCCATTTTCACCTTAGGCCACAAAGTGCTCCAAATATCCATTTGCAGATTATACAAAAAGACTGTTTCCAAACTGCTCAATCAAAAGAAATTTTCAACTCTGTGAGATGAAAGCACACATCACAAAGAAGTTTGCTCAGAAATCTTCTGTCTCGCTTTTATCTCAAGATAATTCCTATTTTGCCATAGGAATCAAGGGGCTCACATATATCCCTTTGCAGATTCTACAAAAGTTCTCCTTAAAAACTTCTCAATCAAAAGAAACGTTCAACATTGTGAGATGAATGAACACATCCCAAAGACGTTTCTCAGGTTGCTTCTGTCTGGTTGCTATGTGAAGATGTTTCCTTTTTCACCATAGTCTTTAAGCCACTCTAAAATACCTGTCTGCAGACTCTACAAAAAGACTGTTTCCAAACTGGCCCATATAGCATGTTTCAACTATGTGAAATGAATGCACTCATCAAAAAGGAGTTCCTCAGGATTCTCCTGTCTAGTTTTTATGTGAAGATATTTCCTTTTTCACTGTAGGCCACAAATTGCTCCAAATATCCATTTGCAGATTCTACAAAAAGAATGTTCCCAAACTGGTCAATCAAAAGAAAGGCGCAACTCTGTGAGACGAAAGCACACATCACAAAGAAGTTTCCCGGAAAGCTTCTGTCTACATTTTATGTGAAGGTATTTCCTTTGGCACCATAGGACTTAAACCGCTCGCAAACATAACTCCACTTATACTACCTAGAGACATTCTCCAGATTGCTAAATCAAAAGAAAGGTTCAACTCTGTGAGATGAATACACACATCAAAAAGAAGTTTCTCAAAATGCTTCTCTGTCTAGTTTTCATGGGAAGATATTTATTTTTCACCGTTGGCCCCAAACCGCTCCGAAATATCCCTTTGCAGTTTGTAGAAAAAGACTGCTTCCAAACTGCTCAATGAAAGGAAATGGTCAACTATTAGAGATGAATGGAAATGTCACAAAGAGTTTTCTCAAAAAGCTACTGTGTCGTTTTTATGTGAAGACATTGCCTTTGGCACCCTAGGCCTTAAAACTCTCTCAATACACATTCACAGATTCTACAAAAAGACTGATTCCAAACTGCTCAATCAGAAGAAGGGTTCAATTCCGTGTGACAAACGTGCACATCACCAAGGAATTTGTCAGAAAGCTTCTGTCTACTTTTTATGTGAAGATATTTCATATTTCAACAAAGGCCATAAAGGGCTCACAAATATCCCTTTGCAGATTCTAAGGAAAGACATTTTCCAAACTCCTCAATCAAAAGAAAGGTTTCACTCTGTGTGATGAATGGACACATCACAAAGAAGTTTCTCAGAAAGCTTCTGTCTAGTTTTTCTGTGAAGATATTTCTTTTTCACCATAGGCCTCAAGCAGCTAAGAAATTTCCCTCTGCAGCTTCTACCAAAGACTGTTTCCAAACTGCTCAACTGAAAGAAAGGTTGAATTCTGTGACATAAATTCACACATCACAAAGAGGTTTTTCAGAAATCTTCTGTCTGGTTTTTAGGTGAAGATACTTCCTTTTTCACCACGGGCCTCAAATATCTCCAAATATCCATTTGCAGATTCTACAGAAAGACTTTGCAAACTGCTCAATCAAAAGAAGGGTTCAACACTGTGAGATGAAGGCACACATCACCAAGAAGTTTCTCAGAAACCTTCTGTCTAGTTTTTAGGTGAAGATACTTCGTATTTCACCACAGGCCATAAAGGGCTCACAAATATCCCTCTGCAGGTTCTACAAAAAGACTGTTCCCAAACTGCCCAATCAAAGGAGAGGTTCAACTCTGTGACGTAAATGGACACATCACAAAAAATTTCTTGGAATGCTTCCGTCTAGTTCTTATGGGAAGATATTTCTCTTTCACCATAAGCCTCAAACGGATCAGAATTCTCCCTTTGCAGATTGTACGATAAGCCTCTTTCCAATCTGCTCAATCAAAAGAAAGTTTCCACTCGGTGAGGTGAATGCACACATCGCAAGGGAGTTTCTCAGAAAGCTTCTGTTTAGTTTTTACGTGAAGATATTTCGTTTTTCACCACTGGCCTCAAAAGCTCTCCAAATATCCATTTGCAGATTCTAGAAAAAGAGTGTTTCCAAACTCCTCAATCAAAGGATAGTTTCAATTCTGTGAGATGAAAGCACACATCACAACGAAGTTTCTTAGAAAGCTTCTGTGAAGTTTTTATGTGAAGATACTTCACATTGCATCACAGTACACAAGGGGCTCAGAAATATCCCCTTGCAGATCCTACAAAAGGACTGTTTCAAAACTGCTCAATCCAAAGAAAGTTTCAACTATGTGAGACGAATGCACACGTCACGAAGAAGTGCCTCAGAATGCTTCTGTCTAGTTTATATGTGAAGAAGATTCCTATTCCACCATAGGCAATAAAGGGCTCACAAATATGTTTTGCAGATTCTACAAAAAGACTGTACCCAAACTGCTCAATAAAAAGAAAGTTTTAACTCTGTTAGGTTAATGGACACATCAAAAAGTAGTTTCTCAAGAAAACTTCTGTTTAGTTTTTATGTGAGGATATTTCCTTTGTCACCATTGGCCTCAAAGCACTCCTAATATCCATTTACAGATATCACAAAAAGAGTGTTTCCAAACTGCTCAATCAAAAGAAAGTTTTAACTCTGTGAGATGAAAGCACACATCTCAAAGAACTTTCTCAGAAAGCTTTGGTCTAGTTTTCATGTGAAGATATTTCCAGTTTCACCATAGGCCTCAAAGGGCTAAGAAATATCCCTTTCCAAATTCTAAAAGACGAACATTTCCATACTGCTCAATCAAAAGAAAGGTTAAATTCTGTGAGGTGAATGCACACATCAGAATGAAGTTTCTCAGAATTCTCCCTGTCTAGTTTCTATGTGAAGATATTTACTATTTCACTATAGGCTTCAAAGGTCTCAAAAATATCCCTTTGCAGATTCTACAAAAATATGGTTTCCACAGTGCTGAATTAAAAGAAACCTTCAACTCTGTCAGATGAATGGGGACATCACAAAGAAGTTCCTCGGAATGCTTCTGTCTAGTTGAAATGTGAAGACATTTCTTTTTCACCATAGACCTCAAAGGGCTCAGAGTTGGACCTTGGCAGATTGCAGAGAAAGACTGTCTCTAAACTGCTCAAATAACATAAAGTTTCAACACGGTGAGATGAATGCACACATCACAAAGAAGTTCCTCAGAAAGCTTCTGTCTGGTTTTTATGTGAAGATATTTCCTTTTTCACCATAGGCCTTACACCGCTCACAAATATCCTTCTGCAGATACTATAAAAAGACTGTTTCCAAACTGCTCCATCAAAAGAAAATTTCACCTATCTGAGATGAATGCACACATCATACAGAAGTTCCTCAGAATTCTTCTGTCTAGTTTTTATGTGAAGATGTTTCCATTTTCACCTTAGGCCACAAAGCGCCCCAAACATCCGTTTGCAGATGATACGAAGAGACTGTTTCCAAACTGCTCAATCAAGAGAAATTTTCAACTCTGTGAGATGAAAGCACACATCACTAAAAAGTTTCTCAGAAATCTTCTGTCTCGCTTTTATCTCAAGATGATTCCTATTTTGCCATAGGAATCAAGGGGCTCACATATACCCCTTTGCAGATTCTACAAATGTTCTCCTTACAAACTTCTCAATCAAGAGAAACGTTCAACATTGTGAGATGAATGAACACATCCCAAAGACATTTCTCAAGTTGCTTCTGTCTGGTTGCTATGTGAAGATGTTTCCTTTTTCACCATAGCCTTTAAGCCACTCAAAAATATCTGTCTGCAGACTCTACAAAAAGACTCTTTCCAAACTGGCCCATATGGCATGTTTCAACTATGTGAAACGAATGCACTCATCAAAAAGTAGTTTTTCAGGAGTCTCCTGTCTAGTTTTTATGTGAAGATATTTCCTTTTTCACCGTAGGCCACAAATTGCTCCAAATATCCATTTGCAGATTCTACAAAAAGAATGTTCCCAAACTGGTCAATCAACAGAAAGGCGCAACTCTGTGAGACGAAAGCACACATCACAAAGAAGTTTCTCGGAAAGCCTCTGTCTACATTTTATGTGAAGGTATTTCCTTTGGCACCATAGGCCTTAAACCGCTCGCAAATATGACTCCACTTATACTACCAAGAGACTTTCTCCAAATTGCTAAATCAAAAGAAAGTTTCAACCCTGTGAGATGAATACACACATCAAAAAGAAGTTTCTCAAAATGCTTCCGTCTAGTTTTCATGGGAAGATATTTATTTTTCACCGTTGGCCCCAAACCGCTCAGAAATATCCCTTTGCAGTTTGTAGAAAAAGACTGCTTCCAAACTGCTCAATGTAAGGAAATGGCCAACTATTAGAGATGAATGGAAATGTCACAAAGAGTTTTCTCAAAAAGCTACTGTGTCGTTTTTATGTGAAGACATTGCCTTTGGCACCCTAGGCCTTAAAACTCTCTCAGTACACATTCACAGATTCTACAAAAGGACTGATTCCAAACTGCTCAATCAGAAGAAGGGTTCAATTCCGTGTGGCAAACGTGCACATCACCAAGGAATTTGTCAGAAAGCTTCTGTCTAGTTTTTATGTGAAGATATTTCATATTTCAACATAGGCCATAAAGGGCTCACAAATATCCCTTTGTAGATTCTAAGAAAAGACATTTTCCAAACTCCTCAATCAAAAGAAAGGTTTAACTCTGTGAGATGAATGGACACATCACAAAGAAGTTTCTTAGAAAGCTTCTGTCTAGTTTTTCTGTGAAGATATTTCTTTTTCACCATAGGCCTCAAGCAGCTAAGAAATTGCCCTCTGCAGCTTCTACCAAAGACTGTTTCCAAACTGCTCAACTGAAAGAAAGGTTGAATTCTGTGACATGAATTCACACATCACAAAGAGGTTTTTCAGAAATCTTCTGTCTGGTTTTTAGGTGACGATACTTCCTTTTTCACCACGGGCCTCAAATATCTCCAAATATCCATTTGCAGATTCTACAGAAAGACTTTCCAAACTGCTCAATCAAAAGAAAGGTTCAACACGGTAAGATGAAGGCACACATCACCAAGAAGTTTCTCAGAAACCTTCTGTCTAGTTTTTAGGTGAAGATACTTTGTATTTCACCACAGGCCTTAAAGGGCTCACAAATATCCCTCTGCAGGTTCTACAAAAAGACTGTTTCCAAACTGATCAATCAAAGGAGAGGTTCAACTCTGTGACGTGAATGGACACATCACAAACAATTTCTTGGAATGCTTCCGTCTAGTTCTTATGGGAAGATATTTCTCTTTCACCAGAAGCCTCAAACGGATCAGAATTCTCCCTTTGCAGATTGTACAATAAGCCTCTTTCCAATCTGCTCAATCAAAAGAAAGTTTCCACTCGGTGAGGTGAATGCACACATCGCAAGGGAGTTTCTCAGGAAGCTTCTGTTTAGTTTTTACGTGAAGATATTTCGTTTTTCACCACGGGCCTCAAAAGCTCTCCAAATATCCATTTGCAGATTCTAGAAAAAGAGTGTTTCCAAACTCCTCAATCAAAGGATAGTTTCAATTCTGTGAGATGAAAGCACACATCACAACGAAGTTTCTTAGAAAGCGTCTGTCTAGTTTTTATGTGAAGATACTTCACATTGCATCACAGTACTCAATGGGCTCAGAAATATCCCCTTGCAGATCCTACAAAAGGACTGTTTCAGAACTGCTCAATCCAAAGAAAGCTTCAACTATGTGAGACGAATGCACACGTCACGAAGAAGTTCCTCAGAATGCTTCTGTCTAGTTTATATGTGAAGAAGATTCCTATTTCACCATAGGCAATAAAGGGCTCACAAATATGTTTTGCAGATTGTACAAAAGGACTGTATCCAAACTGCTCAATAAAAAGAAGGTTTTAACTCTGTTAGGTTAATGGACATATCAAAAAGTAGTTTCTCAGAAAACTTCTGTTTAGTTTTTATGTGAAGATATTTCCTTTGTCACCATTGGCCTCAAAGCACTCCTAATATCCATTTACAGATTTCACAAAAAGAGTGTTTCCAAACAGCTCAATCAAAAGAAAGTGTTTAACTCTGTGAGGTGAAAGCACACATCTCCAAGAAGTTTCTCAGAAAGCTTCGGACTAGTTTTCATGTGATGATATTTCCAGTCTCACCATAGGCCTCAAAGGGCTAAGAAATATCCCTTTCCAGGTTCTAAAAGACCACCATTTCCATACTTCTCAATCAAAAGAAACGTTAAATTCTGTGAGGTTAATGCACACATCAGAATGAAGTTTCTCAGAATTCTCCTGTCTAGTTTCTATGTGAAGATATTTACTATTTCACTATAGGCTTCAAAGGTCTCAAAAATATCCCTTTGCAGATTCTACAAAAATATGGTTTCCACAGTGCTGAATTAAAAGAAACCTTCAAATCTGTCAGATGAATAGAGACATCACAAAGAAGTTCCTCGGAATGCTTCTGTCTAGTTTAAATGTGAAGATATTTCTCTTTCACCACAGACCTCAAATGGCTCAGAAATATGCCTTTGCAGATTGCAGAAATAGACTGTCTCTAAACTGCTCAAATAAAATAAAGTTTCAACACTGTGAGATGAATGCACACATCACAAAGAAGTTTCTCAGAAAGCTTCTGTCTGGTTTTTATGTGAAGATATTTCCTTTTTCACCATAGGCCTTACACCGCTCACAAGTATCCTTCTGCAGATACTATAAAAAGACGGTTTCCAAACTGCTCCATCAAAAGAAAATTTCACCTATCTGAGATGAATGCACACATCATAAAGAAGTTCCTCAGAATTCTTCTGTCTAGTTTTTATGTGAAGGTGTTTCCATTTTCACCTTAGGCCACAAAGCGCCCCAAACATCCATTTGCAGATGATACGAAAAGACTGTTTCCAAACTGCTCAATCAAAAGAAATTTTCAACTCTGTGAGATGAAAGCACACATCACAAAAAAGTTTCTCAGAAATCTTCTGTCTCGCTTTTATCTCAAGATAATTCCTATTTTGCCATAAGAATCAAGGGGCTCACATATACCCCTTTGCAGATGCTACAAAAGTTCTCCTTACAAACTTCTCAATCAAAAGAAACGTTCAACATTGTGAGATGAATGAACACATCCCAAACACGTTTCTCAGGTTGCTTCTGTCTGGTTGCTATGTGAAGATGTTTCCTTTTTCACCATAGTCTTTAAGCCACTCAAAAATATCTGTCTGCAGACTCTACCAAAAGACTGTTTCCAAACTGGCCCACATAGCATGTTTCAACTATGTGAAATGAATGCACTCATCAAAAAGAAGTTTCTCAGGATTCTCCTGTCTAGTTTTTATGTGAAGATATTTCCTTTTTCACCATAGGCCACAAATTGCTCCAAATATCCATTTGCAGATTCTACAAAAAGAATGTTCCCAAACTGGTCAATCAAAAGAAAGGCGCAACTCTGTGAGACGAAAGCACACATCACAAAGAAGTTTCTCGGAAAGCCTCTGTCTACATTTTATGTGAAGGTATTTCCTTTGGCACCATAGGCCTTAAACCGCTCGCAAATATAACTCCACTTATACTACCAAGAGACTTTCTCCAAATTGCTAAATCAAAAGAAAGGTTCAACTCTGTGAGATGAATACACACATCAAAAGAAGTTTCTCAAAATGCTTCTGTCTAGTTTTCATGGGAAGATATTTATTTTTCACCATTGGCCCCAAACCGCTCAGAAATATCCCTTTGCAGTTTGTAGAAAAAGACTGCTTCCAAGCTGCTGAATGAAAGGAAATGGTCAACTATTAGAGATGAATGGAAATGTCGCAAAGAGTTTTCTCGAAAAGCTACTGTGTCGTTTTTATGTGAAGACATTGCCTTTTGCACCCTAGGCCTTAAAACTCCCTAAATACACATTCACAGATTCTACAAAAAGACTGATTCCAAACTGCTCAATCAGAATAAGGGTTCAATTCCGTGTGACAAACTTGCACATCACAAAGAAATTTGTCAGAAAGCTTCTGTCTACTTTTTATGTGAAGATATTTCATATTTCAACAAAGGCCTTAAAGGGCTCACAAATATCCCTTCGCAGATTCTAAGAAAAGACGTTTTCCAAACTCCTCACTCAAAAGAAAGGTTTAACACTGTGAGATGAATGGACACATCACGAAGAAGTTTCTCAGAAAGCTTCTGTCTAGTTTTTATGTGAAGATATTTCTTTTTCACTATAGGACTCAAACGGCTAAGAAATTTCCCTTTGCAGCTTCTACAAAATACTGTTTCCAAACTGCTCAATCGAAAGAAAGGTTGAATTCTGTGACATGAATTTACACAACACAAAGAAGTTTCTCAGAAATCTTCTGTCTAGTTTTTATGTGAAGATACTTTCTTTTTCACCATGGGCCTCAAATAGTTCCAAATATCCATTTGCAGATTCGACAAACAGACTTTCCAAACTGCTCAATCAAAAGAAAGGTTCAACACTGTGAGATGAAAGCACACATCAGAAAGAATTTTCTCAGAAATCTTCTGTCTACTTTTTATGTGAAGATATTTCATATTTCAACAAAGGCCATAAAGGGCTCACAAATATCCCTTCGCAGATTCTAAGAAAAGACGTTTGCCAAACTCCTCAATCAAAAGAAAGGTTTAACTCTGTGAGATGAATGGACACATCATGAAGAAGTTTCTCAGAAAGCTTCCGTCTAGTTCTCATGGGAAGATATTTCTCTTTCACCATAAGCCTCAAACGGATCAGAATTCTCCCTTTGCAGATTGTACGATAAGCCTCTTTCCAATCTGCTCAATCAAAAGAAAGTTTCCACTCGCTGAGGTGAATGCACACATCGCAAGGGAGTTTCTCAGAAAGCTTCTGTTTAGTTTTTACGTGAAGATATTTCGTTGTTCACCACGGGCCTGAAAAGCTCTCCAAATATCCCTTTGCAGATTCTAGAAAAAGAGTGTTTCCAAACTCCTCCATCAAAGGATAGTTTCAATTCTGTGAGATGAAAGCACACATCACAACGAAGTTTCTTAGAAAGCGTCTGTGTAGTTTTTATGTGAAGATACTTCACATTGCATCACAGTACTCAATGGGCTCAGAAATATCCCCTTGCAGATCCCACAAAAGGACTGTTTCAAAACTGCTCAATCCAAAGAAAGTTTCAACTATGTGAGATGAATGCACACGTCACGAAGACGTTCCTCAGAATGCTTCTGTCTAGTTTATATGTGAAGAAAATTCCTATTTCACCATAGGCAATAAAGGGCTCACAAATATTTTTGGCAGATTCTACAAAAATACTATATCCAAACTGTTAAATAAAAAGAAAGTTTCAACTCTGTTAGATTAATGGACACATCAAAAAGTAGTTTCTCAGAAAACTTCTGTTTAGTTTTTACATGAAGATATATCCTTTGTCACCATTGGCCTCAAAGTGCTCCTAATATCCATTTACAGATTTCACAAAAAGAGTGTTTCTAAACTGCTCAATCAAAAGAAAGTTTTAACTCTGTGAGATGAAAGCACACATTTCAAAGAAATTTCTCAGAAAGCTTCGGTCTAGTTTTCATGTGAAGATATTTCCAGTTTCACCATAGGCCTCAAAGGGCTAAGAAATATCCCTTTGCAGATTCTAAAAGAGGACCATTTCCATACTGCTCAATCAAAATAAAGGTTAAATTCTGTGAGGTGAATGCACACATTAGAATGAAGTTTCTCAGAATTCTCCTGTCTAGTTTTCATGTGAAGATATTTACTATTTCACTATAGGCTTCAAATGTCTCAAAAATATCCCTTTGCAGATTCTACAAAAATATGCTTTCCAAAGTGCTGAATTAAAAGAAACCTTCAACTCTGTCAGATGAATGGAGACATCACAAAGAAGTTCCTCAGAATGCTTCTGTCTAGTTTAAATGTGAAGACATTTCTTTTTCACCATAGACCTTAAAGGGCTCAGAGTTAGACCTTTGCAGATTGCAGAGAAAGACTGTCTCTAAACTGCTCAAATAACTTAAAGTTTCAACACGGTGAGATGAATGCACACATCACAAAGAAGTTCCTCAGAAAGCTTCTGTCTGGTTTTTATGTGAAGATATTTCCTTTTTCACCATAGGCCTTACACCGCTCACAAATATCCTTCTGCAGATACTAGAAAAAGACTGTTTCCAAACTGCTCCATCAAAAGAAAATTTCACCCATGTGAGATGAATGCACACATCATAAAGAAGTTCCTCAGAATTCTTCTGTCTAGTTTTTATGTGAAGATGTTTCCATTTTCACCTTAGGCCACAAAGCGCTCCAAACATCCGTTTGCAGATGATACGAAAAGACTGTTTCCAAACTGCTCAATCAAAAGAAATTTTCAACTCTGTGAGATGAAAGCACACATCACAAAAAAGTTTCTCAGAAATCTTCTGTCTCGCTTTTATCTCAAGATGATTCCTATTTTGCCATAGGAATCAAGGGGCTCACATATACCCCTTTGCAGATTCTACAAATGTTCTCCTTACAAACTTCTCAATCAAGAGAAACGTTCAACATTGTGAGATGAATGAACACATCCCAAAGACATTTCTCAGGTTGCTTCTGTCTGGTTGCTATGTGAAGATGTTTCCTTTTTCACCATAGTCTCTAAGCCCCTCAAAAATATCTGTCTGCAGACTCTACCAAAAGACTGTTTCCAAACTGGCCCATATAGCATGTTTCAACTATGTGAAATGAATGCACTCATCAAAAAGAAGTTTCTCAGGATTCTCCTGTCTAGTTTTCATGTGAAGATATTTCCTTTTTCACCGTAGGCCACAAATTGCTCCAAATATCCATTTGCAGATTCTACAAAAAGAATGTTCCCAAACTGGTCAATCAAAAGAAAGGCGCAACTCTGTGAGACGAAAGCACACATCACAAAGAAGTTTCTCGGAAAGCCTCTGTCTGCATTTTATGTGAAGGTATTTCCTTTGGCACCATAGGCCTTAAACCGCTCGCAAATATAACTCCACTTATACTACCAAGAGACTTTCTCCAAATTGCTAAATCTAAAGAAAGGTTCAACTCTGTGAGATGAATACACACATCAAAAAGAAGTTTCTCAAAATGCTTCTGTCTAGTTTTCATGGGAAGATATTTATTTTTCACCGTTGGCCCCAAACCGCTCAGAAATATCCCTTTGCAGTTTGTAGAAAAAGACTGCTTCCAAACTGCTCAATGAAAGGAAATGGCCAACTATTAGAGATGAATGGAAATGTCACAAAGAGTTTCCTCAAAAAGCTACTGTGTCGTTTTTATGTGAAGACATTGCCTTTTGCACCCTAGGCCTTAAAACTCTCTAAATACACATTCACAGATTCTACAAAAAGACTGAATCCAAACTGCTCAATCAGAAGAAGGGTTCAATTCCGTGTGACAAACGTGCACATCACCAAGAAATTTGTCAGAAAGCTTCTGTCTACTTTTTATGTGAAGATATTTCATATTGCAACAAAGGCCATAAAGGGCTCACAAATATCCCTTCGCAGATTCTAAGAAAAGACGTTTTCCAAACTCCTCAATCAAAAGAAAGGTTTAACTCTGTGAGATGAATGGACACATCACGAAGAAGTTTCTCAGAAAGCTTCTGTCTAGTTTTTCTGTGAAGATATTTCTTTTTCACCATAGGCCTCAAGCAGCTAAGAAATTTCCCTCTGCAGCTTCTACCAAAGACTGTTTCCAAAATGCTCAACTGAAAGAAAGGTTGAATTCTGTGACATGAATTCACACATCACAAAGAGGTTTTTCAGAAATCTTCTGTCTGGTTTTTAGGTGAAGATACTTCCTTTTTCACCACGGGCCTCAAATATCTCCAAATATCCATTTGCAGATTCTACAGAAAGACTTTGCAAACTGCTCAATGAAAAGAAAGGTTCAACACTGTGAGATGAAGGCACACATCACCAAGAAGTTTCTCAGAAACCTTCTGTCTAGTTTTTAGGTGAAGATACTTCGTATTTCACCACAGGCCTTAAAGGGCTCACAAATATCCCTCTGCAGGTTCTACAAAAAGACTGTTTCCAAACTGATCAATCAAAGGAGAGGTTCAACTCTGTGACGTGAATGGACACATCACAAACAATTTCTTGGAATGCTTCCGTCTAGTTCTTATGGGAAGATATTTCTCTTTCACCAGAAGCCTCAAACGGATCAGAATTCTCCCTTTGCAGATTGTACAATAAGCCTCTTTCCAATCTGCTCAATCAAAAGAAAGTTTCCACTCGGTGAGGTGAATGCACACACTTCGCAAGGGAGTTTCTCAGGAAGCTTCTGTTTAGTTTTTACGTGAAGATATTTCGTTTTTCACCACGGACCTCAAAAGCTCTCCAAATATCCATTTGCAGACTCTAGAAAAAGAGTGTTTCCAAACTCCTCAATCAAAGGATAGTTTCAATTCTGTGAGACGAAAGCACACATCACAACGAAGTTTCTTAGAAAGCGTCTGTCTAGTTTTTATGTGAAGATACTTCACATTGCATCACAGTACTCAATGGGCTCAGAAATATCCCCTTGCAGATCCTACAGAAGGACTGTTTCAAAACTGCTCAATCCAAAGAAAGCTTCAACTATGTGAGACGAATGCACACGTCACGACGACCTTCCTCAGAATGCTTCTGTCTAGTTTATATGTGAAGAAGATTCCTATTCCACCATAGGCAATAAAGGGCTCACAAATATGTTTTGCAGATTCTACAAAAAGACTGTACCCAAACTGCTCAATAAAAAGAAAGTTTTAACTCTGTTAGGTTAATGGACACATCAAAAAGTAGTTTCTCAGAAAACTTCTGTGTACTTTTTATGTGAAGATACTTCCTTTGTCACCATTGGCCTCAAAGCACTCCTAATATCCATTTACAGATGTCACAGAAAGAGTGTTTCCAAACTGCTCAATCAAAAGAAAGTGTTTAACTCTGTGAGGTGAAAGCACACATCTCAAAGAAGTTTGTCCGAAAGCTTCGGTCTAGTTTTCATGTGATGATATTTCCAGTCTCACCATAGGCCTCAAAGGGCTAAGAAATATCCCTTTCCAGATTCTAAAAGACCACCATTTCCATACTTCTCAATCAAAAGAAAGGTTAAATTCTGTGAGGTTAATGCACACATCAGAATGAAGTTTCTCAGAACTCTCCTGTCTAGTTTTCATGTGAAGATATTTACTATTTCACTATAGGCTTCAAATGTCTCAAAAATATCCCTTTGCAGATTCTACAAAAATATGCCTTCCAAAGTGCTGAATTAAAAGAAACCTTCAACTCTGTCAGATGAATGGAGACATCACAAAGAAGTTCCTCAGAATGCTTCTGTCTAGTTTAAATGTGAAGATATTTCTTTTTCACCATAGACCTCAAAGGGCTCAGAATTAGACCTTTGCAGATTGCAGAGAAAGACTGTCTCTAAACTGCTCAAATAAAATAAAGTTTCAACACGGTGAGATGAATGCACACATCACAAAGAAGTTCCTCAGAAAGCTTTCTGTCTGGTTTTAATATGAAGATATTTCCTTTTTCACCATAGGCCTTACACCGCTCACGAATATCCTTCTGCAGATACTATAAAAAGACTGTTTCCAAACTGCTCCATCAAAAGAAAATTTCACCTATCTGAGATGAATGCACACATCATACAGAAGTTCCTCAGAATTCTTCTGTCTAGTTTTTATGTGAAGATGTTTCCATTTTCACCTTAGGCCACAAAGCGCTCCAAACATCCGTTTGCAGATGATACGAAAGGACTGTTTCCAAACTGCTCAATCAAAAGAAATTTTCAACTCTGTGAGATGAGAGCACACATCACAAAAAAGTTTCTCAGAAATCTTCTGTCTCGCTTTTATCTCAAGATAATTCCTATTTTGCCATAGGAATCAAGGGGCTCACACATATCCCTTTGCGGATTCTACAAAAGTTCTCTTTACAAACTTCTCAATCAAAAGAAACGTTCAACATTGTGAGATGAATGAACACATCCCAAAGAAGTTTCTCAGGTTGCTTCTGTCTGGTTGCTATGTGAAGATGTTTCCTTTTTCACCGTGGTCTTTAAGCCACTCAAACATACCTGTCTGCAGACTCTACAAAAAGACTGTTTCCAAACTGGCCCATATAGCATGTTTCAACTATGTGAAATGAATGCACTCATCAAAAAGAAGTTTCTCAGGATTCTCCTGTCTAGTTTTTATGTGAAGATATTTCCTTTTTCCCCGTAGGCCACAAATTGCTCCAAATATCCATTTGCAGATTCTACAAAAAGAATGTTCCCAAACTGGTCAATCAACAGAAAGGCGCAACTGTGTGAGACGAAAGCACACATCACAAAGAAGTTTCTCGGAAAGCCTCTGTCTGCATTTTATGTGAAGGTATTTCCTTTGGCACCGTAGGACTTAAACCGCTCGCAAATATAACTCCACTTATACTACCAAGAGACTTTCTCCAAATTGCTAAATCTAAAGAAAGGTTCAACTCTGTGAGATGAATACACACATCAAAAAGAAGTTTCTCAAAATGCTTCTGTCTAGTTTTCATGGGAAGATATTTATTTTTCACCGTTGGCCCCAAACCGCTCAGAAATATCCCTTTGCAGTTTGTAGAAAAAGACTGCTTCCAAACTGCTCAATGAAAGGAAACGGCCAACTATTAGAGATGAATGGAAATGTCACTAAGAGTTTTCTCAAAAAGCTACTGTGTCGTTTTTATGTGAAGACATTGCCTTTGGCACCCTAGGCCTTAAAACTCTCTCAATACACATTCACAGATTCTACAAAAAGACTGATTCCAAACTGCTCAATCAGAAGAAGGGTTCAATTCCGTGTGACAAACGTGCACATCACCAAGGAAATTTGTCAGAAAGCTTCTGTCTACTTTTTATGTGAAGATATTTCATATTTCAACAAAGGCCATAAAGGGCTCACAAATATCCCTTCGCAGATTCTAAGAAAAGACGTTTTCCAAACTCCTCAACCAAAAGAAAGGTTTAACTCTGTGAGATGAATGGACACATCACGAAGAAGTTTCTCAGAAAGCTTCTGTCTACTTTTTATGTGAGGCTATTTCTTGTTCACCATAGGCCTCAAGCAGCTAAGAAATTTCCCTCTGCAGCTTCCACAAAAGACTGGTTCCAAACTGCTCAACTGAAAGGAAGGTTGAATTCTGTGACATGAATTCACACATCACAAAGAGGTTTTTCAGAAATCTCCTGTCTGGTTTTTAGGTGAAGATACTTCCTTTTTCACCACGGGCCTCAAATATCTCCAAATATCCATTTGCAGATTCTACAGAAAGACTTTCCAAACTGCTCCATCAAAAGAAAGGTTCAACACTGTGAGATGAAGGCACACATCACCAAGAAGTTTCTCAGAAACCTTCTGTCTAGTTTTTAGGTGAAGATACTTCGTATTTCACCACAGGCCATAAAGGGCTCACAAATATCCCTCTGCAGGTTCTACAAAAAGACTGTTCCCAAACTGCCCAATAGAAGGAGAGGTTCAACTCTGTGACGTAAACGGACACATCACAAAAAATTTCTTGGAATCCTTCCGTCTAGTTTTGATGGGAAGATATTTCTCTTTCACCATAAGCCTCAAACGGATCAGAATTCTCCCTTTGCAGGTTGTACGATAAGCCTCTTTCCAATCTGCTCAATCAAAAGAAAGTTTCCACTCGGTGAGGTGAATGCACACATCGCAAGGGAGTTTCTCAGAAAGCTTCTGTTTAGTTTTTACGTGAAGATATTTCGTTTTTCACCACGGGCCTCAAAAGCTCTCCAAATATCCATTTGCAGATTCTAGAAAAAGAGTGTTTCCAAACTCCTCAATCAAAGGATAGCTTCAATTCTGTGCGATGAAAGCACACATCACAACGAAGTTTCTTAGAAAGCGTCTGTCTAGTTTTTATGTGAAGATACTTCACATTGCATCACAGTACTCAATGGGCTCAGAAATATCCCCTTGCAGATCCTACAAAAGGACTGTTTCAAAACTGCTCAATCCAAAGAAAGTTTCAACTATGTGAGACGAATGCACACGTCACGAAGACGTTCCTCAGAAAGCTTCTGTCTAGTTTACATGTGAAGAAGATTCCTATTTCACCATAGGCAATAAAGGGCTCACAAATGTTTTTTGCAGATTCTCCGAAAACACTGTATCCAAACTGCTCAATAAAAAGAAAGTTTTAACTCTGTTCGATTAGTGGACACATCAAAAAGTAGTTTCTCAGAAAACTTCTGTGTAGTTTTTATGTGAAGATACTTCCTTTGTCACCATTGGCCTCAAAGCACTCCTAATATCCATTTACAGATGTCACAGAAAGAGTGTTTCCAAACTGCTCCATCAAAAGAAAGTGTTTAACTCTGTGAGGTGAAAGCACACATCTCAAAGAAGTTTCTCCGAAAGCTTTCGGTCTACTTTTCATGTGAAGATATTTCCAGTTTCACCGTAGGCCTCAAAGGGCTAAGAAATATCCCTTTCCAGATTCTAAAAGACGACCGTTTCCATACTTCTCAATCAAAAGGAAGGTTAAATTCTCTGAGGTTAATGCCCACGTCAGAATGAAGTTTCTCAGAATTCTCCTGTCTAGTTTTCATGGGAAGATATTTACTATTTCACTATAGGCTTCAAAAGTCTAAAAAATATCCCTTTGCAGATTCTACAAAAATATGCCTTCCAAAGTGCTGAATTAGAAGAAAGCTTCAACTCTGTCAGATGAATGGAGGCATCACAACGAAGTTCCTCAGAATGCTTCTGTCTAGTTTAAATGTGAAGACATTTCTTTTTCACCATAGACCTCAAAGGGCTCAGAGTTAGACCTTTGCAGATTGCAGAGAAACACTGTCTCTAAACTGCTCAAATAAAATAAAGTTTCAACACGGTGAGATGAACGCACACATCACAAAGAAGTTCCTCAGAAGGCTTCTGTCTGGTTTTTATGTGAAGATATTTCCTTTTTCACCATAGGCCTTACACCGCTCACAAATATCCTTCTGCAGATACTAGAAAAAGACTGTTTCCAAACTGCTCCATCAAAAGAAAATTTCACCCATCTGAGATGAATGCACACATCATAAAGAGGTTCCTCAGAATTCTTCTGTCTAGTTTTTATGTGAAGATGTTTCCATTTTCACCTTAGGCCACAAAGCGCTCCAAACATCCGTTTGCAGATGATACGAAAAGACTGTTTCCAAACTACTCAATCAAAAGAAATTTTCAACTCTGTGAGATGAAAGCACACATCACAAAAAAGTTTCTCAGAAATCTTCTGTCTCGCTTTTATCTCAAGATAATTCCTATTTTGCCATAGGAATCAAGGGACTCACACATATCTCTTTGCGGATTCTACAAAAGTTCTCTTTACAAACTTCTCAATCAAAAGAAACGTTCAACATTGTGAGATGAATGAACACATCCCAAAGAAGTTTCTCAGGTTGCTTCTGTCTGGTTGCTATGTGAAGATGTTTCCTTTTTCACCATAGTCTTTAAGCCACTCAAAAATATCTGTCTGCAGACTCTACCAAAAGACTGTTTCCAAACTGGCCCCTATGGCATGTTTCAACTATGTGAAATGAATGCACTCATCAAAAAGAAGTTTCTCAGGAGTCTGCCTGTCTAGTTTTTCTGTGAAGATATTTCCTTTTTCACCGTAGGCCACAAATTGCTCCAAATATCCATTTGCAGATTCTACAAAAAGAATGTTCCCAAACTGGTCAATCAAAAGAAAGGCACAACTCTGTGAGACGAAAGCACACATCACAAAGAAGTTTCTCGGAAAGCCTCTGTCTGCATTTTATGTGAAGGTATTTCCTTTGGCACCATAGGCCTTAAACCGCTCGCAAATATAACTCCACTTATACTACCAAGAGACTTTCTCCAAATTGCTAAATCTAAAGAAAGGTTCAAATCTGTGAGATGAATACACACATCAAAAAGAAGTTTCTCAAAATGCTTCTGTCTAGTTTTCATGGGAAGATATTTATTTTTCACCGTTGGCCCCAAACCGCTCAGAAATATCCCTTTGCAGGTTGTAGAAAAAGACTGCTTCCAAACTGCTCAATGAAAGGAAACGGCCAACTATTAGAGATGAATGGAAATGTCACAAAGAGTTTTCTCAAAATGCTACTGTGTCGTTTTTATGTGAAGACATTGCCTCTTGCACCCTAGGCCTTAAAACTCTCTAAATACACATTCACAGATTCTACAAAAAGACTGATTCCAAACTGCTCAATCAGAAGAAGGGTTCAATTCCGTGTGACAAACGTGCACATCACCAAGAAATTTGTCAGAAAGCTTCTGTCTACTTTTTACGTGAAGATATTTCATATTTCAACAAAGGCCATAAAGGGCTCACAAATATCCCTTTGCAGATTCTAAGAAAAGACCTTTTCCAAACTCCTCAATCAAAAGAAAGGTTTCACTCTGTGCGATGAATGGACACATCACAAAGAAGTTTCTCAGAAAGCTTCTGTCTAGTTTTTCTGTGAAGATATTTCTTTTTCACCATAGGCCTGAAGCAGCTAAGAAATTTCCCTCTGCATCTTCTACCAAAGACTGTTTCCAAACTGCTCAAGTGAAAGAAAGGTTGAATTCTGTGACATGAATTCACACATAACAAAGAGGTTTTTCAGAAATCTTTCTGTCTGGTTTTTAGGTGAAGATACTTCCTTTTTCACCACGGGCCTCAAATATCTCCAAATATCCATTTACAGATTCTACAGAAAGACTTTGCAAACTGCTCAATCAAAAGAAAGGTTCAACACTGTGAGATGAAGGCACACATCACCAAGAAGTTTCTCAGAAACCTTCTGTCTAGTTTTTAGGTGAAGATACTTCGTATTTCACTACAGGCCATAAAGGGCTCACAAATATCCCTCTGCAGGTTCTACAAAAAGACTGTTTCCAAACTGCCCAATCAAAGGAGAGGTTCAACTCTGTGACGTAAATGGACACATCACAAAAAATTTCTTGGAATGCT
>NC_000013.11:16022637-16110659 GCF_000001405.40 Homo sapiens | reverse complement strand
TTTGTCTAGTTTTTAGGTGAAGATATTTCTTATTTCCCCAGAGGCCTCAATGGGCTCTCAAATATTCCCTTTCATATTCTACTAAATGAGTGTATCGAAGCTGCTCAATCAAAAGACGGGTTTAACAGTGTGAGACGAAAATACACCTTCCTAGGAAGTTTCTCAGAATTCTTCTTTCTAGTTTTTTATGTGAAGATATTTCCTTTTCCACTATAGGCCTCAAAGCGTTCCAAATATCCACTTGCAGATACTACAAATAGAGCGTTTCAAAACTGCTCAATCAAAGGAAAGGTTCAACTCTGTGAGATGAATGCAGACATCAAAAAGAAGTTTCTCAGAATCCTTCTGCCTTGTTTTTATGTGAAGATATTTCCTTTTTCACCATAGGCCTCAAAGCACTGGTAATATCCATTTGCAGATACTACAAAAAGACTGTTCCCAAACTGCTCAATAAAAAGAAATTTTCAACTCTATGAGATAAAAGCAAATATCACAAAGAAGTTTCTCAGAAACTTTCTATCTAGTTTTTATGTGAACATATTTCTTATCACCCCATAGACCTCAATCGGCTCACAAGTATCCTTCTGCAGATTGTAAAAAAACTACTGTTTCCAAACCGCTCAATCACAGGAAAGGTTTAACTCTGTGAAATGAATGCATCCATCACAGAGAAGTTTCTCAGAATGCTTCCGTCTCGTTTTTATGTGAAGAAGATTCCTTTTCCACCCTATTCCTCATGCGCTCCAAATAAACACTTGCAGATTCCGCTAAAAGAGTGTTTCAAAACTGCTCAATCAAAAGAAAGGTTCTAGTCGGTGAGATGAATGCACACATCACAAAGAAGTTTCTATGAATGCTTCTGTCTGATTTATATTGAAGATATTTCCTTTTTCACCGTAGGCCTCAGAGTGCTTAAAATATCCATTTGCAGATACTAGAAAAGACTGTTTCCAAACTGCTCAATCAAAGTAAAGTTCAACTCAGTGAGATGAATGCACACATCACCAAGACGTTTCTGAGAAAGATTCTGTCTCGTTTTTATGTGAAGATATTTCCTGTTTCCCCAGAGGCATCAATGGGCTCACAAATATTCCTTTGCATATTCTACAAAATGACTGTTTAGAAGGTTCTCAATCAAAAAAAAAGTTCAACAGTGTGAGATGAATGCGCCCATTCAAAGGAAGTTTCTCAGAATTCTTCTATCTACTTTTTATGTGAAGATATTTCCTTTTTCACTGTAGGCCACAAAGTGCTCCAAATATCCACTTGCAGACTCTACAAAACGAGTGTATCCACACTGCTCAATCAAAAGAAAATTTCAACTGTGTGAGATGAATGCACACATCAAAATAAATTTCTCCAAAACTTCTGCCTACTTTTTATGGGAAGATATTTCGTTTTTCAACGTAGGCCAAAAGCACTCCAAATATCAATTTGCAGATTCTACAAAAAGACTGTTTCCAAACTGCTCAATCAAGAGAAAGTTTCAACCCGGTGAGTAGAAGTCACACATGACAAAATAGTTTCTCAGGAAGTATCTGTCTAGTTTTTATGTGAAGATATTTCCTATCACCCCAGAAGCCTCAATGGGCTCACAAATATTCCTTTGCAGATTCTACAAAACGACAGTTTCAAAACTGCTGAATCAAAAGAAAGGTTCAACTCTGTGAGATGAATGCACAGATCACAAATAAGTTTCTCAGAATGCTGCTGTCTAGTTTTTATGGGAAGATGTGTCTTTTTCCACCATAGGCCTGAAAGTGCCCCAAATATCCACTTATAGATTGTACAAAAAGACTGTTTCAAAACTGCTCAATCAAAAGAAAAGTTCAAATCTGTGAGATGAAAGCACACATCTGAAAGAAGTTTCTCAGAAAGTTTCTGACTAGTTTTTATGTGAAGATGTTTTCTTTTCCACCACAGGCCTCAAAGTGCTAAAAATATTCACTTGAAGATTCTACAAAAAGAGAGTTTCAAAACTGCTCAAACAAAAGAAAGGTTCAACTCTGTGACATTAATGCACACATCACAAAGAAGTTTCTCAGAATGCTTCTGTCTAGTTTTATGTAAAGATATTTCCTTTTCTACTATAGGCCACAAAGCACTCCAAATATCAACTTGCAGATTCTGCAGAAAGAGTTTTTCAAAGCTGCTCAATCAAAAGAAAAGTTCAACTCTTTGAGATGAATGCACACATCATGAAGTTCCTCAGAATGCTTCTATTTTTATGTGAAGATATATCCTTTTCTACCATAGACCACAAAACGCTCCAAATATCCCCTTGCAGTTTCTACTAAAAGAGTGTTTCCAAACTGCTCAATCAAAAGAAGTTTCAACTCTGTGAGATGAATGCACACATCATTAAGAAGTTTCTCAGTAATTTTCTGTCTAGTTTTTATGTGAAGATATTTCCTTTCCTACTATAGGCCTGAAAGTGCTGCAAATATCCGTTTGCAGATACTGCAAAAACACTGTTTCCACACTGCTCAATCAAAGGAAATGTCCAACTCTGTGAGTTGAATGCACGCATCTCAAAGAGATTACTTCTAATGATTCTGTCTAGTTTTGATGTGAAGATATTTGCTTTTCCACCAGTGGCCTCAAACTCTCCAAATATCCACTTGCAGATTCTACAATAAGAGTGTTTCAAAACTGCTCAATCAAAAGAAAGGTTCAACACTGTGAGATGAATGCACACGTCACAAAGCACTTTCTTAGAATGCTTCTGTCTAGCTTTTATGTGAAGATATTTCCTTTTTCACCATAGGCTGCAAAGCGCTCCAAATACCCCTTTCAGATTCTACAGAAAGAGTGTTTCAAAACTGTTCAATCAAAAGAGAAACTCAACTCTGGTGATGAATGCACGCATCACAAAGCAGTTTCTCATAATGTTTCTGTCTAGTTTTTATGTGAAGATATTTCATTCTCCACTATAGGCCGTAATGCACTCCTAATATCCACTTGCAGATTCTACAAAAAGACTGTTTGCAAACTGCTCAAACAAAAGAAAAGTTCAACTCTGTGAGTTGAATGAGCACATCACAAAGAAGTTTCTCAGAATGCTTCTGTCTAGTTTTTATGTGAATATATTTCCTTTTCCACTATAGGCCGTAATGCGCTCCAAATATCCACTTGCAGTTTCTACAAAAAGACTGTTTCCAAACTGCGCAATCAAAAGAAAAGCTCAACTCTGTGAGTTGAATGAGCACATCAGAAAGAAGTTTCTCAGAATGCTTCTATCTAGTTTTTATGTGAATATATTTCCTTTTCCACCACAGGCCACAAACCCTCCAAATATCCACTTGAAGATTCTACAAAAAGAGTGCTTCAAAAATGCTCAATCAAAAGAAAGGTTCAACTCTTCGATATGGACGCACACATCACAAAGAAGCTTCTCAGAATGTTTCTGTCTAGTTTTTTTGTGAAGATATTTCCTTTTCCACCGTAGTCCTCAAGTCTCTCCAAATATCTACTTTCAGAATCTCCAAAAAGAGTGTTTTAAAACTGCTGTACCAAAGAAAGTTTCATGTCTGAGTTATGACTGCATACAACACAGAGAAGTTTCTCAAAGTGCTTCTGTTTATTTTTTTTATGAAGATATTTCCTTTTCCACTATGGGCCACAGAGCGCTCCAAATATCCACTGGCAGATTCTACAAAAAGAGTGTTTCAAAACTGCTCAATCAATAGAAAGTTTGAAGTCTGTGAGATGAGTGCACACATCACAAAGGAGTTTCTAAGAATGCTTCCATCTGAATTTTATGTGAGGATATTTCCTTTTTCACCATAGGCCTCAATACACTCCAAATATCCATTTACAGATAATACAAATGACTGTATCCAAACTGCTCAATCAAAAGAAAGTTCAACTGTGCATGATGAATGCACACATCACAAGGGTGTTTCTCAGAAAGATTTTGTCTAGTTTTTAGGTGAAGATATTTCTTATTTCCCCAGAGGCCTCAATGGGCTCTCAAATATTCCTTTTCATAATCTACTAAATGACTGTATCGAAGCTGCTCAATCAAAAGACGGGTTTAACAGTGTGAGACAAAAATACACCTTCCTAGGAAGTTTCTCAGAATTCTTCTTTCTAGTTTTTTATGTGAAGATATTTCCTTTTCCACTATAGGCCTCAAAGCGTTCCAAATATCCACTTGCAGATACTACAAATAGAGCGTTTCAAAACTGCTCAATCAAAAGAAAGTTTCAACACTGCGAGATGAATGCAGACATCAAAAAGAAGCTTCTCAGAATGCTTCTGCCTTGTTTTTATGTGAAGATATTTCCTTTTTCACCATAGGCCTCAAAGCACTGGTAATATCCATTTGCAGATACTACAAAAAGACTGTCCCCAAACTGCTCAATAAAAAGAAAGTTTCAACTCTAGGAGATAAAAGCAAATATCACAAAGAAGTTTCTCAGAAACTTTCTATCTAGTTTTTATGTGAACATATTTCTTATCACCCCATAGACCTCAATCGGCTCACAAGTATCCTTCTGCAGATTGTAAAAAACTACTGTTTCCAAACCGGTCAATCACAGGAAAGGTTTAACTCTGGGAAATGAATGCATCCATCACAGAGAAGTTTCTCAGAATGCTTCCGTCTCGTTTTTATGTGAAGAAGATTCCTTTTCCACCATATTCTTCATGCGCTACAAAGAAACACTTGCAGATTCCGCTAAAAGAGTGTTTCAAAACTGCTCAATCAAAAGAAAGGTTCTAGTCGGTGAGATGAATGCACACATCACAAAGAAGTTTCTATGAATGCTTCTGTCTGATTTATATTGAAGATATTTCCTTTTTCACCGTAGGCCTCAGAGCGCTTAAAATATCCATTTGCAGATACTAGAAAAAGACTGTTTCCAAACTGCTCAATCAAAATAAAGTTCAACTCAGTGAGATGAATGCACATATCACAAAGAAGTTTCTGAGAAAGATTCTGTCTCGTTTTTATGTGAAGATATTTCCTGTTTCCCCAGAGGCATCAATGGGCTCACAAATATTCCTTTGCATATTCTACAAAATGACTGTTTAGAAGGTGCCCAATCAAAAAAAAAGTTCAACAGTGTGAGATGAATGCGCCCATTCAAAGGAAGTTTCTCAGAATTCTTCTATCTAGTTTTTATGTGAAGATATTTCCTTTTTCACTATAGGCCACAAAGTGCTCCAAATATCCACTTGCAGACTCTACGAAACGAGTGTATCCACACTGCTCAAACAAAAGAAAATTTCAACTGTTTGAGATGAATGCACACATCAAAATAAATTTCTCCAAAACTTCTGCCTACTCTTTATGGGAAGATATTTCGTTTTTCAACGTAGGCCAAAAGCACTCCAAATATCAATTTGCAGATTCTACAAAAAGACTGTTTCCAAACTGCTCAATCAAGAGAAAGTTTCAACCCGGTGAGTAGAAGTCACACATGACAAAATAGTTTCCCAGAAAGTATCTGTCTAGTTTTAATGTGAAGATATTTCCTATCACCCCAGAAGCCTCAATGGGCTCACAAATATTCCTTTGCAGATTCTACAAAACGACAGTTTCAAAACTGCTGAATCAAAAGAAAGGTTCAATTCTGTGAGATGAATGCACAGATCACAAATAAGTTTCTCAGAATGCTGCTGTCTAGTTTTTATGGGAAGAGATTTCCTTTTCCACCATAGGCCTCAAAGCTCTCCAAATAGCCATTTGCAGATACTGTAAAAAGACTGTTTCCAAACTGCTGAATCAAAAGAAAGGTTGAACTCCATGAGTTGAATGCACACGTCACAAAGAAGTTTCTCAGAATACTTCTGACTAGTTTTTATGTGAAGATATTTTCTTTTCCACCATAGGCCTCAAAGCGCTGAAAATATCCACTTGAAGATTCTACAAAAAGAGAGTTTCAAAACTGCTCAAACAAAAGAAAGATTCAACTCTGTGAGATGAATGCACACATCACAAAGAAGTTTCTCAGAATGCTTCTGTCTAGTTTTATGTAAAGATATTTCCTTTTCTACTATAGGCCACAAAGCACTCCAAATATCAACTTGCAGATTCTGCAGAAAGAGATTTTCAAAGCTGCTCAATCAAAAGAAAAGTTCAACTCTTTGAGATGAATGCACACATCATGAAGTTCCTCAGAATGCTTCTATTTTTATGTGAAGATATATCCTTTTCTACCATAGACCACAAAACGCTCCAAATATCCCCTTGCAGTTTCTACTAAAAGAGTGTTTCCAAACGGCTCAATCAAAAGAAAGTTTCAACTCTGTGAGATGAATGCACACAACATTAAGTAGTGTCTCAGTAATTTTTCTGTATGGTTTTTATGTGAAGATATTTCCTTTCCTACTATAGGCCTGAAAGTGCTCCAAATATCCGTTTGCAGATACTGCATAAAGACTGTTTCCAAACTGCTCAATCAAAGGAAATGTCCAACTCTGTGAGTTGAATGCACGCATCTCAAAGAGATTACTTATAATGATCCTGTCTAGTTTTGATGTGAAGATATTTGCTTTTCCACCAGTGGCCTCAAACTCTCCAAATATCCACTTGCAGATTCTACAATAAGAGTGTTTCAAAACTGCTCAATCGAAAGAAAGGTTCAACACTGTCAGATGAATGCACACGTCACAAAGCACTTTCTTAGAATGCTTCTGTCTAGCTTTTATGTGAAGATATTTCCTTTTTCACCATAGGCTGCAAAGCGCTCCAAATATCCCTTTCAGATTCTACAGAAAGAGTGTTTCAAAACTGTTCAATCAAAAGAGAAACTCAACTCTGGTGATGAATGCACGCATCACAAAGCGGTTTCTCATAATGTTTCTGTCTAGTTTTTATGTGAAGATATTTCATTTTCCACTATAGGCCGTAATGCACTCCTAATATCCACTTGCAGATTCTACAGAAAGACTGTTTGCAAACTGCTCAAACAAAAGAAAAGTTCAACTCTGTGAGTTGAATGAGCACATCACAAAGAAGTTTCTCAGAATGCTTCTCTGTCTAGTTTTTATGTGAATATATTTCCTTTTCCACTATAGGCCGTCATGCGCTCCAAATATCCACTTGCAGATTCTACAAAAAGACTGTTTCCAAACTGCTCAATCAAAAGAAAAGCTCAACTCTGTGAGGTGAATGAGCACATCCCAAAGAAGTTCCTCAGAATGCTTCTATCTAGTTTTTATGTGAATATATTTGCTTTTCCACCACAGGCCACAAACCCTCCAAATATCCACTTGAAGATTCTACAAAAAGAGTGCCTCAAAAATGCGCAATCAAAAGAAAGGTTCAACTCTTCGAGATGGACGCACACATCACAAAGAAGCTTCTCAGAATGTTTCTGTCTAGTTTTTTTGTGAAGATATTTCCTTTTCCACCGTAGTCCTCAAGTCTCTCCAAATATCTACTTTCAGAATCTCCAAAAAGAGTGTTTTAAAACTGCTGTACCAAAGAAATTTTCATGTCTGAGATATGACTGCATACAACACAGAGAAGTTTCTCAAAGTGCTTCTGTTTATTTTTTTTATGAAGATATTTCCGTTTCCACTATGGGCCACAGAGCGCTCCAAATATCCACTGGCAGATTCTACAAAAAGAGTGTTTCAAAACTGCTCAATCAATAGAAAGTTTGAAGTCTGTGAGATGAGTGCACACATCACAAAGGAGTTTCTAAGAATGCTTCCATCTGAATTTTATGTGAGGATATTTCCTTTTTCACCATAGGCCTCAGTACACTCCAAATATCCATTTACAGATAATACAAATGACTGTATCCAAACTGCTCAATCAAAAGAAATTTCAACTCTGTATGATGAATGCACACATCACAAGGGTGTTTCTCAGAAAGATTTTGTCTAGTTTTTAGGTGAAGATATTTCTTATTTCCCCAGAGGCCTCAATGGGCTCTCAAATATTCCCTTTCATATTCTACTAAATGACTGTATCGAAGCTGCTCAATCAAAAGACGGGTTTAACAGTGTGAGACGAAAATACACCTTCCTAGGAAGTTTCTCAGAATTCTTCTTTCTAGTTTTTTATGTGAAGATATTTCCTTTTCCACTATAGGCCTCAAAGCGTTCCAAATATCCACTTGCAGATACTACAAAGAGAGTGTTTCAAAACTGCTCAATCAAAAGAAAGGTTCAACTTTGTGAGATGAATGCAGACATCACAAAGAAGTTTCTCAGAATCCTTCCGCCTTGTTTTTATGTGAAGATATTTCCTTTTTCACCATAGGCCTCAAAGCACTGGTAATATCCATTTGCAGATACTACAAAAAGACTGTTCCCAAACTGCTCAATAAAAAGAAATTTTCAACTCTAGGAGATAAAAGCTAATATCACAAAGAAGTTTCTCAGAAACTTTCTATCTAGTTTTTATGTGAACATATTTCTTATCACCCCATAGACCTCAATCGGCTCACAAGTATCCTTCTGCAGATTGTAAAAAACTACTGTTTCCAAACCGCTCAATCACAGGAAAGGTTTAACTCTGTGAAATGAATGCATCCATCACAGAGAAGTTTCTCAGAATGCTTCCGTCTCGTTTTTATGTGAAGAAGATTCCTTTTCCACCATATTCCTCATGCGCTCCAAATAAACACTTGCAGATTCCGCTAAAAGAGTGTTTCAAAACTGCTCAATGAAAAGAAAGGTTCTAGTCGGTGAGATGAATGCACACATCACAAAGAAGTTTCTATGAATGCTTCTGTCTGATTTATATTGAAGATATTTCCTTTTTCACCGTAGGCCTCAGAGTGCTTAAAATATCCATTTGCAGATACTAGAAAAGACTGTTTCCAAACTGCTCAATCAAAGTAAAGTTCAACTCAGTGAGATCAATGCACACATCACCAAGACGTTTCTGAGAAAGATTCTGTCTCGTTTTTATGTGAAGATATTTCCTGTTTCCCCAGAAGGCATCAATGGGCTCACAAATATTCCTTTGCATATTCTACAAAATGACTGTTTAGAAGGTGCTCAATCAAAAAAAAAGTTCAACAGTGTGAGATGAATGCGCCCATTCAAAGGAAGTTTCTCAGAATTCTTCTATCTAGTTTTTATGTGAAGATATTTCCTTTTTCACTATAGGCCACAAAGTGCTCCAAATATCCACTTGCAGACTCTACAAAACGAGTGTATCCACACTGCTCAATCAAAAGAAAATTTCAACTGTGTGAGATGAATGCACACATCAAAATAACTTTCTCCAAAACTTCTGCCTACTTTTTATGGGAAGATATTTCGTTTTTCAACGTAGGCCAAAAGCACTCCAAATATCAATTTGCAGATTCTACAAAAAGACTGTTTCCAAACTGCTCAATCAACAGAAAGTTTCAACCCGGTGAGTAGAAGACACACATGACAAAATAGTTTCTCAGAAAGTATCTGTCTAGTTTTTACGTGAAGATATTTCCTATCACCCCAGAAGCCTCAATGGGCTCACAAATATTCCTTTGCAGATTCTACAAAACGACAGTTTCAAAACTGCTGAATCAAAAGAAAGGTTCAACTCTGGGAGATGAATGCACAGATCACAAATAAGTTTCTCAGAATGCTGCTGTCTAGTTTTTATGGGAAGATAATTCCTTTTCCACCATAGGCCTCAAAGCTCTCCAAATAGCCATTTGCAGATACTGTAAAAAGACTGTTTCCAAACTGCTGAATCAAAAGAAAGGTTGAACTCCATGAGTTGAATGCACACGTCACAAAGAAGTTTCTCAGAATGGTTCTGACTAGTTTTTATGTGAAGATATTTTCTTTTCCACCATAGGCCTCAAAGCGCTGAAAATATCCACTTGAAGATTCTACAGAAAGAGAGTTTCAAAACTGCTCAAACAAAAGAAAGATTCAACTCCGTGAGATGAATGCACACATCACAAAGAAGTTTCTCAGAATGCTTCTGTCTAGTTTTATGTAAAGATATTTCCTTTTCTACTATAGGCCACAAAGCACTCCAAATATCAACTTGCAGATTCTGCAGAAAGAGTTTTTCAAAGCTGCTCAATCAAAAGAAAAGTTCAACTCTTTGAGATGAATGTACACATCAGGAAGTTCCTCAGAATGCTTCTATTTTTATGTGAAGATAACCTTTTCTACCATAGACCACAAAACGCTCCAAATATCCCCTTGCAGTTTCTACTAAAAGAGTGTTTCCAAACTGCTCAATCAAAGGAAAGTTTCAACTCTGTGAGATGAATGCACACATCATTAAGAAGTTTCTCAGTAATTTTCTGTATGGTTTTTATGTGAAGATATTTCCTTTCCTACTATAGGCCTGAAAGTGCTCCAAATATCCGTTTGCAGATACTGCATAAAGACTGTTTCCAAACTGCTCAATCAAAGGAAATGTCCAACTCTGTGAGTTGAATGCACGGCATCTCAAAGAGATTACTTATAATGATCCTGTCTAGTTTTGATGTGAAGATATTTGCTTTTCCACCAGTGGCCTCAAACTCTCCAAATATCCAGTTGCAGATTCTACAATAAGAGTGTTTCAAATCTGCTCAATCAAAAGAAAGGTTCAACACTGTCAGATGAATGCACACGTCACAAAGCACTTTCTTAGAATGCTCTGTCTAGCTTTTATGTGAAGATATTTCCTTTTTCACCATAGGCTGCAAAGCGCTCCAAATATCCCTTTCAGATTCTACAGAAAGAGTGTTTCAAAACTGTTCAATCAAAAGAGAAATTCAACTCTGGTAATGAATGCACGCATCACAAAGCAGTTTCTCATAATGTTTCTGTCTAGTTTTTATGTGAAGATATTTCATTTTCCACTATAGGCCGTAATGCACTCCTAATATCCACTTGCAGATTCTACAGAAAGACTGTTTGCAAACTGCTCAAACAAAAGAAAAGTTCAACTCTGTGAGTTGAATGAGCACATCACAAAGAAGTTTCTCAGAATGCTTCTGTCTAGTTTTTATGTGAATATATTTCCTTTTCCACTATAGGCCGTAATGCGCTCCAAATATCCACCTGGAGATTCTACAAAAAGACTGTTTCCAAACTGCTCAATCAAAAGAAAAGCTCAACTCTGTGAGTGGAATGAGCACATCACAAAGAAGTTTCTCAGAATGCTTCTATCTAGTTTTTATGTGAATATATTTCCTTTTCCACCACAGGCCACAAACACTCCAAATATCCACTTGAAGTTTCTACAAAAAGAGTGCTTCAAAAATGCTCAATCAAAAGAAAGGTTCAACTCTTTGAGATGGATGCACACATCACAAAGAAGCTTTCTCAGAATGTTTCTGTCTAGTTTTTTTGTGAAGATATTTCCTTTTCCACCGTAGTCCTCAAGTCTCTCCAAATATCTACTTTCAGAATCTCCAAAAAGAGTGTTTTAAAACTGCTGTACCAAAGAAAGTTTCATGTCTGAGATATGACTGCATACAACACAGAGAAGTTTCTCAAAGTGCTTCTGTTTATTTTTTTTATGAAGATAATTCCTTTTCCACTATGGGCCACAGAGCGCTCCAAATATCGACTTGCAGATTCTACAAAAAGAGTGTTTCAAAACTGCTCAATCAATAGAAAGTTTGAAGTCTGTGAGATGAATGCACACACCACAAAGGAGTTTCTAAGAATGCTTCCATCTGAATTTTATGTGAGGATATTTCCTTTTTCACCATAGGCCTCAATACACTCCAAATATCCATTTACAGATAATACAAATGACTGTATCCAAACTGCTCAATCAAAAGAAAGTTCAACTGTGTATGATGAATGCACACATCACAAGGGTGTTTCTCAGAAAGTTTTTGTCTAGTTTTTAGGTGAAGATATTTCTTATTTCCCCAGAGGCCTCAATGGGCTCTCAAATATTCCCTTTCATATTCTACTAAATGACTGTATCGAAGCTGCTCAATCAAAAGAGGGGTTTAACAGTGTGAGACGAAAATACACCTTCCTAGGAAGTTTCTCAGAATTCTTCTTTCTAGTTTTTTATGTGAAGATATTTCCTTTTCCACTATAGGCCTCAAAGCGTTCCAAATATCCACTTGCAGATACTACAAATAGAGCGTTTCAAAACTGCTCAATCAAAGGAAAGGTTCAACTCTGTGAGATGAATGCAGACATCAAAAAGAAGTTTCTCAGAATGCTTCTGCCTTGTTTTTATGTGAAGATATTTCCTTTTTCACCATAGGCCTCAAAGCACTGGTAATATCCATTTGCAGATACTACAAAAAGACTGTTCCCAAACTGCTCAATAAAAAGAAAGTTTCAACTCTATGAGATAAAAGCAAATATCACAAAGAAGTTTCTCAGAAACTTTCTATCTAGTTTTTATGTGAACATATTTCTTATCACCCCATAGACCTCAATCGGCTCACAAGTATCCTTCTGCAGATTATGAAAAACTACTGTTTCCAAACCGCTCAATCACAGGAAAGGTTTAACTCTGTGAAATGAATGCATCCATCACAGAGAAGTTTCTCAGAATGCTTCCGTCTCGTTTCCATGTGAAGAATATTCCTTTTCCACCATATTCCTCATGCGCTCCAAATAAACACTTGCAGATTCCGCTAAAAGAGTGTTTCAAAACTGCTCAATCAAAAGAAAGGTTCTAGTCGGTGAGATGAATGCACACATCACAAAGCAGTTTCTATGAATGCTTCTGTCTGATTTATATTGAAGATATTTCCTTTTTCACCGTAGGCCTCAGAATGCTTAAAATATCCATTTGCAGATACTAGAAAAGACTGTTTCCAAACTGCTCAATCAAAGTAAAGTTCAACTCAGTGAGATGAATGCACACATCACCAAGACGTTTCTGAGAAAGATTCTGTCTCGTTTTTATGTGAAGATATTTCCTGTTTCCCCAGAGGCATCAATGGGCTCACAAATATTCCTTTGCATATTCTACAAAATGACTGTTTAGAAGGTGCTCAATCAAAAAAAAAGTTCAACAGTGTGAGATGAATGCGCCCATTCAAAGGAAGTTTCTCAGAATTCTTCTATCTAGTTTTTATGTGAAGATATTTCCTTTTTCACTATAGGCCACAAAGTGCTCCAAATATCCACTTGCAGACTCTACAAAACGAGTGTATCCACACTGCTCAATCAAAAGAAAATTTCAACTGTGTGAGATGAGTGCACACATCAAAATAAATTTCTCCAAAACTTCTGCCTACTTTTTATGGGAAGATATTTCGTTTTTCAACGTAGGCCAAAAGCACTCCAAATATCAATTTGCAGATTCTACAAAAAGACTGTTTCCAAACTGCTCAATCAAGAGAAAGTTTCAACCCGGTGAGTAGAAGTCACACATGACAAAATAGTTTCTCAGAAAGTAGCTGTCTAGTTTTTATGGGAAGAGATTTCCTTTTCCACCATAGGCCTCAAAGCTCTCCAAATAGCCATTTGCAGATACTGTAAAAAGACTGTTTCCAAACTGCTGAATCAAAAGAAAGGTTGAACTCCATGAGTTGAATGCACACGTCACAAAGAAGTTTCTCAGAATGCTTCTGACTAGTTTTTATGTGAAGATGTTTTCTTTTCCACCATAGGCCCCAAAGTGCTAAAAATATCCACTTGAAGATTCTACAAAAAGAGGGTTTCAAAACTGCTCAAACAAAAGAAAGGTTCAACTCTGTGACATGAATGCACACGTCACAAAGACGTTTCTCAGAATGCTTCTGTCTAGTTTTATGTAAAGATATTTCCTTTTCTACTATAGGCCACAAAGCATTCCAAATATCAACTTGCAGATTCTGCAGAAAGAGTTTTTCAAAGCTGCTCAGTCAAAAGACAAGTTCAACTCTTTGAGATGAATGCACACATCATGAAGTTCCTCAGAATGCTTCTATTTTTATGTGAAGATATATCCTTTTCTACCATAGACCACAAAACGCTCCAAATATCCCCTTGCAGTTTCTACGAAAAGAGTGTTTCCAAACGGCTCAATCAAAAGAAAGTTTCAACTCTGTGAGATGAATGCACACATCATTAAGAAGTTTCTCAGTAATTTTCTGTCTAGTTTTTATGTGAAGATATTTCCTTTCCTACTATAGGCCTGAAAGTGCTGCAAATATCCGTTTGCAGATACTGCAAAAAGACTGTTTCCACACTGCTCAATCAAAGGAAATGTCCAACTCTGTGAGTTGAATGCACGCATCTCAAAGAGATTACTTATAATGATCCTGTCTAGTTTTGATGTGAAGATATTTGCTTTTCCACCAGTGGCCTCAAACTCTCCAAATATCCAGTTGCAGATTCTACAATAAGAGTGTTTCAAAACTGCTCAATCAAAAGAAAGGTTCAACACTGTGAGATGAATGCACACGTCACAAAGCACTTTCTTAGAATGCTTCTGTCTAGCTTTTATGTGAAGATATTTCCTTTTTCACCATAGGCTGCAAAGCGCTCCAAATATCCCTTTCAGATTCTACAGAAAGAGTATTTCAAAACTGTTCAATCAAAAGAGAAACTCAACTCTGGTGATGAATGCACGCATCACAAAGCAGTTTCTCATAATGTTTCTGTCTAGTTTTTATGTGAAGATATTTCATTCTCCACTATAGGCTGTAATGCACTCCTAATATCCACTTGCAGATTCTACAAAAAGACTGTTTGCAAACTGCTCAAACAAAAGAAAAGTTCAACTCTGTGAGTTGAATGAGCACATCACAAAGAAGTTTCTCAGAATGCTTCTGTCTAGATTTTATGTGAATATATTTCCTTTTCCACTATAGGCCGTAATGCGCTCCAAATATCCACCTGCAGATTCTACAAAAAGACTGTTTCCAAACTGCTCAATCAAAAGAAAAGCTCAACTCTGTGAGTTGAATGAGCACATCACAAAGAAGTTTCTCAGAATGCTTCTATCTAGTTTTTATGTGAATATATTTCCTTTTCCACCACAGGCCACAAACACTCCAAATATCCACTTGAAGATTCTACAAAAAGAGTGCTTCAAAAATGCTCAATCAAAAGAAAGTTTCAACTCTTTGAGATGGATGCACACATCACAAAGAAGCTTCTCAGAATGTTTCTGTCTAGTTTTTCTGTGAAGATATTTCCTTTTCCACCGTAGTCCTCAAGTCTCTCCAAATATCTACTTTCAGAATCTCCAAAAAGAGTGTTTTAAAACTGCTGTACCAAAGAAATTTTCATGTCTGAGATATGACTGCATACAACACAGAGAAGTTTCTCAAAGTGCTTCTGTTTATTTTTTTTATGAAGATATTTCCTTTTCCACTATGGGCCACAGAGCGCTCCAAATATCCACTGGCAGATTCTACAAAAAGAGTGTTTCAAAACTGCTCAGTCAATAGAAAGTTTGAAGTCTGTGAGATGAATGCACACATCACATAGGAGTTTCTAAGAATGCTTCCATCTGAATTTTATGTGAGGATATTTCCTTTTTCACCATAGGCCTCAGTACACTCCAAATATCCATTTACAGATAATAGAAATGACTGTATCCAAACTGCTCAATCAAAAGAAAGTTCAACTGTGTATGATGAATGCACACATCACAAGGGTGTTTCTCAGAAAGTTTTTGTCTTGTTTTTAGGTGAAGATATTTCTTATTTCCCCAGAGGCCTCAATGGGCTCTCAAATATTCCCTTTCATATTCTACTAAATGACTGTATCGAAGCTGCTCAATCAAAAGACGGGTTTAACAGTGTGAGACGAAAATACACCTTCCTAGGAAGTTTCTCAGAATTCTTCTTTCTAGTTTTTTATGTGAAGATATTTCCTTTTCCACTATAGGCCTCAAAGCGTTCCAAATATCCACTTGCAGATACTACAAATAGAGCGTTTCAAAACTGCTCAATCAAAAGAAAGGTTCAACTCTGTGAGATGAATGCAGACATCAAAAAAACTTTCTCAGAATGCTTCCGCCTTGTTTTTATGTGAAGATATTTCCTTTTTCACCATAGGCCTCAAAGCACTGGTAATATCCATTTGCAGATATTACAAAAAGACTGTTCCCAAACTGCTCAATAAAAAGAAAGTTTCAACTCTAGGAGATAAAAGCAAATATCACAAAGAAGTTTCTCAGAAACTTTCTATCTAGTTTTTATGTGAACATATTTCTTATCACCCCATAGACCTCAATCGGCTCACAAGTATCCTTCTGCAGATTATAAAAATCTACTGTTTCCAAACCGCTCAATCACAGGAAAGGTTTAACTCTGTGAAATGAATGCATCCATCACAGAGAAGTTTCTCAGAATGCTTCCGTCTCGTTTTTATGTGAAGAAGATTCCTTTTCCACCATATTCCTCATGCGCTCCAAAGAAACACTTGCAGATTCCGCTAAAAGAGTGTTTCAAAACTGCTCAATCAAAAGACAGGTTCTAGTCGGTGAGATGAATGCACACATCACAAAGACGTTTCTATGAATGCTTCTGTCTGATTTATATTGAAGATATTTCCTTTTTCACCGTAGGCCTCAGAGTGCTTAAAATATCCATTTGCAGATACTAGAAAAGACTGTTTCCAAACTGCTCAATCAAATTAAAGTTCAACTCAGTGAGATGAATGCACACATCACCAAGACGTTTCTGAGAAAGATTCTGTCTCGTTTTTATGTGAAGATATTTCCTGTTTCCCCAGAGGCATCAATGGGCTCACAAATATTCCTTTGCAGATTCTACAAAATGACTCTTTAGAAGGTGCTCAATCAAAAAAAAAGTTCAACAGTGTGAGATGAATGCGCCCATTCAAAGGAAGTTTCTCAGAATTCTTCTATCTAGTTTTTATGTGAAGATATTTCCTTTTTCACTATAGGCCACAAAGTGCTCCAAATATCCACTTGCAGACTCTACGAAACGAGTGTATCCACACTGCTCAATCAAAAGAAAATTTCAACTGTGTGAGATGAATGCACACATCAAAATAAATTTCTCCAAAACTTCTGCCTACTTTTTATGGGAAGATATTTAGTTTTTCAACGTAGGCCAAAAGCACTCCAAATATCAATTTGCAGATTCTACAAAAAGACTGTTTCCAAACTGCTCAATCAACAGAAAGTTTCAACCCGGTGAGTAGAAGTCACACATGACAAAATAGTTTCTCAGAAAGTATCTGCCTACTTTTTATGGGAAGATATTTCGTTTTTCAACGTAGGTCAAAAGCACTCCAAATATCAATTTGCAGATTCTACAAAACGACAGTTTCAAAACTGCTGAATCAAAAGAAAGGTTCAACTCTGTGAGATGAATGCACAGATCACAAATAAGTTTCTCAGAATGCTGCTGTCTAGTTTTTATGGGAAGATATTTCCTTTTCCACCATAGGCCTCAAAGCTCTCCAAATAGCCATTTGCAGATACTGTAAAAAGACTGTTTCCAAACTGCTGAATCAAAAGAAAGGTTGAACTCCATGAGTTGAATGCACACGTCACAAAAATTTCCCAGAATGCTTCTGACTAGTTTTTATGTGAAGATATTTTCTTTTCCACCATAGGCCTCAAAGCGCTGAAAATATCCACTTGAAGATTCTACAGAAAGAGAGTTTCAAAACTGCTCAAACAAAAGAAAGATTCAACTCTGTGAGATGAATGCACACATCACAAAGAAGTTTCTCAGAATGCTTCTGTCTAGTTTTATGTGAATATATTTCCTTTTCCACTGTAGGCCTCAAAGCACTCCAAATATCAACGTGCAGATTCTGCAGAAAGAGTTTTTCAAGCTCTCAATCAAAAGAAAAGTTCAACTCTGTGAGACGAATGCACACATCATTAAGAAGTTCCTCAGAATGCTTCTGTCTATTTTTTATGTGAAGATATATCCTTTTCTACCAAAGACCGCAAAGTGCTCCAAATATCCCCTTGCAGTTTCTACTAAAAGAGTGTTTCCAAACTGCTCAATCAAAAGAAAGTTTCAACTCTGTGAGATGAATGCACACATCACTAACAAGTTTCTCAGTAATTTTCTGTATGGTTTTTATGTGAAGATATTTCCTTTCCTACTATAGGCCTGAAAGTGCTCCAAATATCCGTTTGCAGATACTGCAAAAAGACTGTTTCCAAACTGCTCAATCAAAGGAAATGTCCAACTCTGTGAGTTGAATGCACGCATCTCAAAGAGATTACTTATAATGATTCTGACTAGTTTTGATGTGAAGATATTTGCTTTTCCACCAGTGGCCTCAAACTCTCCAAATATCCACTTGCAGATTCTACAATAAGAGTGTTTCAAAACTGCTCAATCAAAAGAAAGGTTCAACACTGTGAGATGAATGCACACGTCACAAAGCACTTTCTTAAAATGCTTCTGTCTAGCTTTTATGTGAAGATATTTCCTTTTTCACCATAGGCTGCAAAGCGCTCCAAATATCCCTTTCAGATTCTACAGAAAGAGTGTTTCAAAACTGTTCAATCAAAAGAGAAACTCAACTCTGGTGATGAATGCACGCATCACAAAGCAGTTTCTCATAATGTTTCTGTCTAGTTTTTATGTGAAGTTATTTCATTTTCCACTATAGGCCGTAATGCACTCCTAATATCCACTTGCAGATTCTACAGAAAGACTGTTTGCAAACTGCTCAAACAAAAGAAAAGTTCAACTCTGTGAGTTGAATGAGCACATCACAAAGAAGTTTCTCAGAATGTTTCTGTCTAGTTTTTATGTGAATATATTTCCTTTTCCACTATAGGCCGTAATGTGCTCCAAATATCCACCTGCAGATTCTACAAAAAGACTGTTTCCAAAGTGCTCAATCAAAAGAAAAGTTCAACTCTGTGAGATGAATGAGCACATCACAAAGAAGCTTCTCAGAATGTTTCTATCTAGTTTTTATGTGAATATATTTCCTTTTCCACCACAGGCCACAAACACTCCAAATATCCACTTGAAGTTTCTACAAAAAGAGTGCTTCAAAAATGCTCAATCAAAAGAAAGGTTCAACTCTTTGAGATGGATGCACACATCACAAAGAAGCTTCTCAGAATGTTTCTGTCTAGTTTTTTTGTGAAGATATTTCCTTTTCCACCGTAGTCCTCAAGTCTCTCCAAATATCTACTTTCAGAATCTCCAAAAAGAGTGTTTTAAAACTGCGGTACCAAAGAAAGTTTCATGTCTGAAATATGACTGCATACAACACAGAGAAGTTTCTCAAAGTGCTTCTGTTTATTTTTCTTATGAAGATATTTCCTTTTCCACTATGGGCCACAGAGCGCTCCAAATATCCACTGGCAGATTCTACAAAAAGAGTGTTTCAAAACTGCTCAATCAATAGAAAGTTTGAAGTCTGTGAGATGAATGTACACATCACAAAGGAGTTTCTAAGAATGCTTCCATCTGAATTTTATGTGAGGATATTTCCTTTTTCACCATAGGCCTCAGTACACTCCAAATATCCATTTACAGATAATACAAATGACTGTATCCAAACTGCTCAATCAAAAGAACGTTCCACTGTGTATGATGAATGCACACATCACAAGGGTGTTTCTCAGAAAGTTTTTGTCTAGTTTTTAGGTGAAGATATTTCTTATTTCCCCAGAGGCCTCAATGGGCTCTCAAATATTCCCTTTCATATTCTACTAAATGGCTGTATCGAAGCTGCTCAATCAAAAGACGGGTTTAACAGTGTGAGACGAAAATACACCTTCCTAGGAAGTTTCTCAGAATTCTTCTTTCTAGGTTTTTATGTGAAGATATTTCGTTTTCCACTATAGGCCTCAAAGCGTTCCAAATATCCACTTGCAGATCCTACAAATAGAGCCTTTCAAAACTGCTCAATCAAAAGAAAGGTTCAACTCTGTGAGATGAATGCAGACATCAAAAAGAAGTTTCTCAGAATGCTTCCGCCTTGTTTTTATGTGAAGATATTTCCTTTTTCACCATAGGCCTCAAAGCACTGGTAATATCCATTTGCAGATACTACAAAAAGACTGTTCCCAAACTGCTCAATAAAAAGAAATTTTCAACTCTATGAGATAAAAGCTAATATCACAAAGAAGTTTCTCAGAAACTTTCTATCTGGTTTTTATGTGAACATATTTCCTATCGCCCCATAGGCCTCAATCGGCTCACAAATATCCTTCTGCAGCTTATACAAAACGACTGTTTCCAAACCATTCAATCACAGGAAGGGTTCAACTCTGTGAAATGAATGCACCCATCACAGAAAAATTTCTCAGAATGCTTCCGTCTCGTTTTTATGTGAAGAAGATTCCTTTTCCACCATATTCCTCATGTGCTCCAAATAAACACTTGCAGATTCCGCTAAAAGAGTGTTTCAAAACTGCTCAATCAAAAGAAAGGTTCTAGTCGGTGAGATGAATGCACACATCACAAAGAAGTTTCTATGAATGCTTCTGTCTGATTTATATTGAAGATATTTCCTTTTTCACCGTAGGCCTCAGAGTGCTTAAAATATCCATTTGCAGATACTAGAAAAGACTGTTTCCAAACTGCTCAATCAAAATAAAGTTCAACTCAGTGAGATGAATGCACACATCACCAAGACGTTTCTGAGAAAGATTATCTGTCTAGTTTTTATGTGAAGATATTTCCTAATTCCCCAGTGGCATCAATGGGCTCACAAATATTCCTTTGCATATTCTACAAAATGACTGTTTAGAAGGTGCTCAGTCAAAAAAAAAAAGTGCAACACTGTGAGATGAACGTGCACATTCAAAGGAAGTTTCTCAGAATTCTTCTATCTAGTTTTTATGTGAAGATATTTCCTTTTTCACTGTAGGCCAGAAAGTGCTCCAAATATCCACTTGCAGACTCTACAAAACGAATGTATCCACACTGCTCAATCAAAAGAAAATTTCAACTGTGCGAGATGAATGCACACATCAAAATAAATTTCTCCAAAACTTCTGCCTACTTTTTATGGGAAGATATTTCGTTTTTCAACGTAGGCCAAAAGCGCTCCAAATATCAATTTGCAGATTCTACAAAAAGACTGTTTCCAAACTGCTCAATCAACAGAAAGTTTCAACCCGGTGAGTAGAAGTCACACATGACAAAATAGTTTCTCAGAAAGTAGCTGTCTAGTTTTTATGGGAAGAGATTTCCTTTTCCACCATAGGCCTCAAAGCTCTCCAAATATCCATTTGCAGATACTGTAAAAAGACTGTTTCCAAACTGCTGAATCAAAAGAAAGGTTGAACTCCATGAGTTGAATGCACACGTCACAAAGAAGTTTCTCAGAATGCTTCTGACTACTTTTTATGTGAAGATATTTTCTTTTCCACCATAGGCCTCAAAGCGCTGAAAATATCCACTTGAAGATTCTACAGAAAGAGAGTTTCAAAACTGCTCAAACAAAAGAAAGATTCAACTCTGTGAGATGAATGCACACATCACAAAGAAGTTTCTCAGAATGCTTCTGTCTAGTTTTAAGTAAAGATATTTCCTTTTCTACTATAGGTCACAAAGCACTCCAAATATCAACTTGCAGATTCTGCAGAAAGAGTTTTTCAAAGCTACTCAATCAAAAGAAAAGTTCAACTCTTTGAGATGAATGCACACATCATGAAGTTCCTCAAAATGCTTCTATTTTTATGTGAAGATATATCCTTTTCTACCATAGACCACAAAATGCTCCAAATATCTCCTTGCAGTTTCTACTAAAAGAGTGTTTCCAAACGGCTCAATCAAAAGAAAGTTTCAACTCTGTGAGATGAATGCACACATCATTAAGAAGTTTCTCAGTAATTTTCTGTCTAGTTTTTATGTGAAGATATTTCCTTTCCTACTATAGGCCTGAAAGTGCTCCAAATATCCATTTGCATATACTGCAAAAAGACTGTTTCCAAACTGCTCAATCAAAGGAAAGGTCCAACTCTGTGAGTTGAATGCACGCATCTCAAAGAGATTTCTCAGAATGGTTCTGTCTAGTTTTTATGTGAAGATATTTGCTTTTCCACCAGTGGCCTCAAACTCTCCAAATATCCACTTGCAGATTGTACAATAAGAGTGTTTCAAAACTGCTCAATCAAAAGAAAGGTTTAACTCTGTGAGATGAATGTACACCTCACAAAGCACTTTCTCAGAATGCATCTGTCTAGTTTTTATGTGAAGATATTTCGTTTTTCACCATAGGCCGCAAGGCGTTCCAAATATCCCCTTCAGATTCTACAGAAAGAGTGTTTCAAAACTGTTCAATCAAAAGAAAGGTTCAACCCTGGTGATGAATGCACGCATCACAGAGCAGTTTCTCATAATGTTTCTGTCTAGTTTTTATGTGAAGATATTTCATTCTCCACTATAGGCCGTAATGCACTCCTAATATCCACTTGCAGATTCTACAAAAAGACTGTTTGCAAACTGCTCAAACAAAAGAAAAGATCAACTCTGTGAGTTGAATGAGCACATCACAAAGAGGTTTCTCTGAATGCTTCTGTCTAGTTTTTATGTGAATATATTTCCTTTTCCACTATAGGCCGTAATGCGCTCCAAATATCCACCTGCAGATTCTACAGAAAGACTGTTTCCAAACTGCTCAATCAAAAGAAAAGCTCAACTCTGTGAGTTGAATGAGCACATCACAAAGAAGTTTCTCAGAATGCTTCTATCTAGTTTTTATGTGAATATATTTCCTTTTCCACCACAGGCCACAAACACTCCAAATATCCACTTGAAGATTCTACAAAAAGAGTGCTTCAAAAATGGTCAATCAAAAGAAAGGTTCAACTCTTTGAGATGGATGCACACATCACAAAGAAGCTTCTCAGAATGTTTCTGTCTAGTTTTTTTGTGAAGATATTTCCTTTTCCACCGTAGTCCTCAAGTCTCTCCAAATATCTACTTTCAGAATCTCCAAAAAGAGTGTTTCAAAACTGCTGTACCAAAGAAAGTTTCATGTCTGATTTATGACTGCATACAACACAGAGAACTTTCTCAAAGTGCTTCTGTTTATTTTTTTTATGAAGATATTTCCTTTTCCACTATGGGCCACAGAGCGCTCCAAATATCCACTGGCAGATTCTACAAAAAGAGTGTTTCAAAACTGCTCAATCAATAGAAAGTTTGAAGTCTGTGAGATGAATGCACACATCACATAGGAGTTTCTAAGAATGCTTCCATCTGAATTTTATGTGAGGATATTTCCTTTTTCACCATAGGCCTCAGTACACTCCAAATATCCATTTACAGATAATACAAATGACTGTATCCAAACTGCTCAATCAAAAGAAAGTTCAACTTTGTATGATGAATGCACACATCACAAGGGTGTTTCTCAGAAAGTTTTTGTCTAGTTTTTAGGTGAAGATATTTCTTATTTCCCCAGAGGCCTCAATGGGCTCTCAAATATACCCTTTCATATTCTACTAAATGGCTGTATCGAAGCTGCTCAATCAAAAGACGGGTTTAACAGTGTGAGACGAAAATACACCTTCCTAGGAAGTTTCTCAGAATTCTTCTTTCTAGTTTTTTATGTGAAGATATTTCCTTTTCCACTATAGGCCTCAAAGCGTTCCAAATATCCACTTGCAGATACTACAAATAGAGCGTTTCAAAACTGCTCAATCAAAAGAAAGTTTCAACACTGCGAGATGAATGCAGACATGAAAAAGAAGCTTCTCAGAATGCTTCTGCCTTGTTTTTATGTGAAGATATTTCCTTTTTCACCATAGGCCTCAAAGCACTGGTAATATCCATTTGCAGATACTACAAAAAGACTGTTCCCAAACTGCTCAATAAAAAGAAAGTTTCAACTCTAGGAGATAAAAGCAAATATCACAAAGAAGTTTCTCAGAAACTTTCTATCTAGTTTTTATGTGAACATATTTCTTATCACCCCATAGACCTCAATCGGCTCACAAGTATCCTTCTGCAGATTGTAAAAAAATACTGTTTCCAAACCGCTCAATCACAGGAAAGGTTTAACTCTGTGAAATGAATGCATCCATCACAGAGAAGTTTCTCAGAATGCTTCCGTCTCGTTTTCATGTGAAGAAGATTCCTTTTCCACCATATTCCTCATGCGCTCCAAATAAACACTTGCAGATTCCGCTAAAAGAGTGTTTCAAAACTGCTCAATCAAAAGAAAGGTTCTAGTCGGTGAGATGAATGCACACATCACAAAGAAGTTTCTATGAATGCTTCTGTCTGATTTATATTGAAGATATTTCCTTTTTCACCGTAGGCCTCAGAGTGCTTAAAATATCCATTTGCAGATACTAGAAAAGACTGTTTCCAAACTGCTCAATCAAAATAAAGTTCAACTCAGTGAGATGAATGCACACATCACCAAGACGTTTCTGAGAAAGATTCTGTCTCGTTTTTATGTGAAGATATTTCCTGTTTCCCCAGAAGCATCAATGGGCTCACAAATATTCCTTTGCATATTCTACAAAATGACTGTTTAGAAGGTGCTCAATCAAAAAAAAAGTTCAACAGTGTGAGATGAATGCGCCCACTCAAAGGAAGTTTCTCAGAATTCTTCTATCTAGTTTTTATGTGAAGATATTTCCTTTTTCTCTATAGGCCACAAAGTGCTCCAAATATCCACTTGCAGACTCTACAAAACGAGTGTATCCACACTGCTCAATCAAAAGAAAATTTCAACTGTGTGAGATGAGTGCACACATCAAAATAAATTTCTCCAAAACTTCTGCCTACTTTTTATGGGAAGATATTTCGTTTTTCAACGTAGGCCAAAAGCACTCCAAATATCAATTTGCAGATTCTACAAAAAGACTGTTTCCAAACTGCTCAATCAACAGAAAGTTTCAACCCGGTGAGTAGAAGTCACACATGACAAAATAGTTTCTCAGAAAGTAGCTGTCTAGTTTTTATGAGAAGAGATTTCCTTTTCCACCATAGGCGTCAAAGCTCTCCAAATAGCCATTTGCAGATACTGTAAAAAGACTGTTTCCAAACTGCTGAATCAAAAGAAAGGTTGAACTCCATGAGTTGAATGCACACGTCACAAAGAAGTTTCTCAGAATGCTTCTGACTAGTTTTTATGTGAAGATATTTTCTTTTCCACCGTAGGCCTCAAAGCGCTGAAAATATCCACTTGAAGATTCTACCAAAAGAGAGTTTCAAAACTGCTCAAACAAAAGAAAGATTGAACTCTGTGAGATGAATGCACACATCACAAAGAAGTTTCTCAGAATGCTTCTGTCTAGTTTTATGTAAAGATATTTCCTTTTCTACTATAGGCCACAAAGCACCCCAAATATCAACTTGCAGATTCTGCAGAAAGAGTTTTTCAAAGCTGCTCAATCAAAAGAAAAGTTCAACTCTTTGAGATGAATGTACACATCAGGAAGTTCCTCAGAATGCTTCTATTTTTATGTGAAGATATATCCTTTTCTACCATAGACCACAAAACGCTCCAAATATCCCCTTGCAGTTTCTACTAAAAGAGTGTTTCCAAACGGCTCAATCAAAAGAAAGTTTCAACTCTGTGAGATGAATGCACACATCATTAAGAAGTTTCTCAGTAATTTTCTGTCTAGTTTTTATGTGAAGATATTTCCTTTCCTACTATAGGCCTGAAAGTGCTCCAAATATCCGTTTGCAGATACTGCAAAAAGACTGTTTCCAAACTGCTCAATCAAAGGAAATGTCCAACTCTGTGAGTTGAATGCACGCATCTCAAAGAGATTACTTATAATGATTCTCTCTAGTTTTTATGTGAAGATATTTGCTTTTCCACCAGTGGCCTCAAACTCTCCAAATATCCACTTGCAGATTGTACAATAAGAGTGTTTCAAAACTGCTCAATCCAAAGAAAGGTTTAACTCTGTGAGATGAATGCACACATCACAAACCACCTTCTCAGAATGCTTCTGTCTAGCTTATATGTGAAGATATTTCTTTTTCACCATAGGCTGCAAAGCGCTCCAAATATCCCTTTCAGATTCTACAGAAAGAGTGTTTCAAAACTGTTCAATCAAAAGAGAAATTCAACTCTGGTGATGAATGCACGCATCACAAAGCAGTTTCTCATAATGTTTCTGTCTAGTTTTTATGTGAAGATATTTCATTTTCCACTATAGGCCGTAATGCACTCCTAATATCCACTTGCAGATTCTACAAAAAGACTGTTTCCAAACTGCTCAAACAGAAGAAAAGTTCAACTCTGTGAGTTGAATGAGCACATCACGAAGAAGTTTCTCAGAATGCTTCTGTCTAGTTTTTATGTGAATATATTTCCTTTTCCACTATAGGCCGTCATGCGCTCCAAATATCCACTTGCAGATTCTACAAAAAGACTGTTTCCAAACTGCTCAATCAAAAGAAAAGCTCAACTCTGTGAGTTGAATGAGGACATCACAAAGAAGTTTCTCAGAATGCTTCTATCTAGTTTTTATGTGAATATATTTCCTTTTCCACCACAGGCCACAAACACTCCAAATATCCACTTGAAGTTTCTACAAAAAGAGTGCTTCAAAAATGCTCAATGAAAAGAAAGGTTCAACTCTTTGAGATGGATGCACACATCACAAAGAAGCTTCTCAGAATGTTCCTGTCTAGTTTTTTTGTGAAGATATTTCCTTTTCCACCGTAGTCCTCAAGTCTCTCCAAATATCTACTTTCAGAATCTCCAAAAAGAGTGTTTTAAAACTGCTGTACCAAAGACATTTTCATGTCTGAGATATGACTGCATACAACACAGAGAAGTTTCTCAAAGTGCTTCTGTTTATTTTTTTTATGAAGATATTTCCTTTTCCACTATTGGCCACAGAGCGCTCCAAATATCCACTGGCAGATTCTACAAAAAGAGTGTTTCAAAACTGCTCAATCAATAGAAAGTTTGAAGTCTGTGAGATGAATGCACACATCACAAAGGAGTTTCTAAGAATGCTTCCATCTGAATTTTATGTGAGGATATTTCCTTTTTCACCATAGGCCTCAGTACACTCCAAATACCCATTTACAGATAATACAAATGACTGTATCCAAACTGCTCAATCAAAAGAAAGTTCAACTGTGTATGATGAATGCACACAACACAAGGGTATTTCTCAGAAAGTTTTTGTCTAGTTTTTAGGTGAAGATATTTCTTATTTCCCCAGAGGCCTCAATGGGCTCTCAAATATTCCCTTTCATATTCTACTAAATGACTGTATCAAAGCTGCTCAATCAAAAGACAGGTTTAACAGTGTGAGACGAAAATACACCTTCCTAGGAAGTTTCTCAGAATTCTTCTTTCTAGTTTTTTATGTGAAGATATTTCCTTTTCCACTATAGGCCTCAAAGCGTTCCAAATATCCACTTGCAGATACTACAAATAGAGCTTCTCAAAACTGCTCAATCAAAAGAAAGGTTCAACTCTGAGAGATGAATGCAGACATCAAATATAAGTTTCTCAGAATGCTTCCGCCTTGTTTTTATGTGAAGATATTTCCTTTTTCACCATAGGCCTCAAAGCACTGGTAATATCCATTTGCAGATACTACAAAAAGACTGTTCCCAAACTGCTCAATAAAAAGAAAGTTTCAACTCTAGGAGATAAAAGCAAATATCACAAAGAAGTTTCTCAGAAACTTTCTATCTAGTTTTTATGTGAACATATTTCTTATCACCCCATAGACCTCAATCGGCTCACAAGTATCCTTCTGCAGATTGTAAAAAACTACTGTTTCCAAACCGCTCAATCACAGGAAAGTTTTAACTCTGTGAAATGAATGCATCCATCACAGAGAAGTTTCTCAGAATGCTTCCGTCTCGTTTTCATGTGAAGAAGATTCCTTTTCCACCATATTCCTCATGCGCTCCAAATAAACACTTGCAGATTCCGCTAAAAGAGTGTTTCAAAACTGCTCAACCAAAAGAAAGGTTCTAGTCGGTGAGATGAATGCACACATCACAAAGAAGTTTCTATGAATGCTTCTGTCTGATTTATATTGAAGATATTTCCTTTTTCACCGTAGGCCTCAGAGTGCTTAAAATATCCATTTGCAGATACTAGAAAAGACTGTTTCCAAACTGCTCAATCAAAGTAAAGTTCAACTCAGTGAGATGAATGCACACATCACAAAGACGTTTCTGAGAAAGATTCTGTCTAGTTTTTATTTGAAGATATTTCCTATTTCCCCAGAGGCATCAATGGGCTCACAAATATTCCTTTGCATATTCTACAAAATGACTGTTTAGAAGCTGCTCAATCAAGAAAAAAGTTCAACACTGTGAGATGAATGCACACATTCAAAGGAAGTTTCTCAGAATTCTTCTATCTAGTTTTTATGTGAAGATATTTCCTTTTTCACTATAGGCCACAAAGTGCTCCAAATATCCACTTGCAGACTCTACAAAACGAGTGTATCCACACTGCTCAATCAAAAGAAAATTTCAACTGTGTGAGATGAATGCACACATCAAAATAAATTTCTCCAAAACTTCTGCCTACTTTTTATGGGAAGATATTTCGTTTTTCAACGTAGGCCAAAAGCACTCCAAATATCAATTTGCAGATTCTACAAAAAGACTGTTTCCAAACTGCTCAATCAAGAGAAAGTTTCAACCCGGTGAGTAGAAGTCACACATGACAAAATAGTTTCTCAGAAATTATCTGTCTAGTTTTTACGTGAAGATATTTCCTATCACCCCAGAAGCCTCAATGGGCTCACAAATATTCCTTTGCAGATTCTACAAAAAGGCAGTTTCAAAACTGCTGAATCAAAAGAAAGGTTCAACTCTGGGAGATGAATGCACAGATCACAAATAAGTTTCTCAGAATGCTGCTGCCTAGTTTTAATGGGAAGAGATTTCCTTTTCCACCATAGGCCTCAAAGCTCTCCAAATAGCCATTTGCAGATACTGTAAAAAGACTGTTTCCAAACTGCTGAATCAAAAGAAAGGTTGAACTCCATGAGTTGAATGCACACGTCATAAAGAAGTTTCTCAGAATGGTTCTGACTAGTTTTTATGGGAAGATATTTTCTTTTCCAAGATAGGCCTCAAAGCGCTGAAAATATCCACTTGAAGATTCTACAGAAAGAGAGTTTCAAAACTGCTCAAACAAAAGAAAGATTCAACTCTGTGAGATGAATGCACACATCACAAAGAAGTTTCTCAGAATACTTCTGTCTAGTTTTAAGTAAAGATATTTCCTTTTCTACTATAGGCCACAAAGCGCTCCAAATATCAACTTGCAGATTCTGCAGAAAGGGTTTTTCAAAGCTGCTCAATCAAAAGAAAATTTCAACTCTTTGAGATGAATGCACACATCAGGAAGTTCCTCAGAATGCTTCTGTCTATTTTTAATGTGAAGATATATCCTTTTCTACCAAAGACCACAAAGTGCTCCAAATATCCCCTTGCAGTTTCTACTAAAAGAGTGTTTCCAAACTGCTCAATCAAAAGAAAGTTTCAACTCTGTGAGATGAATGCACACATCACTGAGAAATTTCTCAGTAATTTTCTGTCTAGTTTTTATGTGAAGATATTTCCTTTCCTACTATAGGCCTGAAAGTGCTCCAAATATCCGCTTGCAGATACTGCAAAAAGACTGTTTCCAAACTGCTCAATCAAAGGAAATGTCCAACTCTGTGAGTTGAATGCACGCATCTCAAAGAGATTACTTATAATGATTCTGTCTGGTTTTGATGTGAAGATATTTGCTTTTCCACCAGTGGCCTCAAACTCTCCAAATATCCACTTGCAGATTCTACAATAAGAGTGTTTCAAAACTGCTCAATCAAAAGAAAGGTTCAACACTGTGAGATGAATGCACACGTCACAAAGCACTTTCTTAGAATGCTTCTGTCTAGCTTTTATGTGAAGATATTTCCTTTTTCACCATAGGCTGCAAAGCGCTCCAAATATCCCTTTCAGATTCTACAGAAAGAGTGTTTCAAAACTGTTCAATCAAAAGAGAAACTCAACTCTGGTGATGAATGCACGCATCACAAAGCAGTTTCTCATCATGTTTCTGTCTATTTTTTATGTGAAGTTATTTCATTTTCCACTATAGGCCGTAATGCACTCCTAATATCCACTTGCAGATTCTACAAAAAGACTGTTTGCAAACTGCTCAAACAAAAGAAAAGTTCAACTCTGTGAGTTGAATGAGCACATCACAAAGAAGTTTCTCAGAATGCTTCTGTCTAGTTTTTATGTGAATATATTTCCTTTTCCACTATAGGCCGTCATGCGCTCCAAATATCCACTTGCAGATTCTACAAAAAGACTGTTTCCAAACTGCTCAATCAAAAGAAAAGCTCAACTCTGTGAGTTGAATGAGCACATCACAAAGAAGTTTCTCAGAATGCTTCTATCTAGTTTTTATGTGAATATATTTCCTTTTCCACCAGAGGCCACAAACACTCCAAATAACCACTTGAAGATTCTACAAAAAAAGTGCTTCAAAAATGCTCAATCAAAAGAAAGGTTCAACTCTTCGAGATGGACGCACACATCACAAAGAAGCTTCTCAGAATGTTTCTGTCTAGTTTTTTTGTGAAGATGTTTCCTTTTCCACCGTAGTCCTCAAGTCTCTCCAAATATCTACTTTCAGAATCTCCAAAAAGAGTGTTTTAAAACTGCTGTACCAAAGAAATTTTCATGTCTGAGATATGACTGCATACAACACAGAGAAGTTTCTCAAAGTGCTTCTGTTTATTTTTTTTATGAAGATATTTCCTTTTCCACTATGGGCCACAGAGCGCTCCAAATATCCACTTGCAGATTCTACAAAAAGAGTGTTTCAAACCTGCTCAATCAAAAGGAAGATTTTACTCTATGAGATGAATGGACACATCACAGAGAAGTTTCTCAATATGCTTCCATCTGAATTTTATGTGAGGATATTTCCTTTTTCACCATAGGCCTCAGTACACTCCAAATACCCATTTACAGATAATACAAATGACTGTATCCAAACTGCTCAATCAAAAGAAAGTTCAACTGTGTATGATGAATGCACACAACACAAGGGTGTTTCTCAGAAAGTTTTTGTCTAGTTTTTAGGTGAAGATATTTCCTACTTTCCAAGAGGCCTCAATGGGCTCGCAAATATTCTCTTTCAGATTCTACTAAATGACTGTATCGAAGCTGCTCAATCAAAAGAAAGGTTCAACAGTGTGAGAAGAAAGCACACATTCCTAGGAAGTTTCTCAGAACTCTGCTGTCTAGTTTTTATTGGAAGATGTGTCCTTTTCCCCCATAGGCCTGAAAGTGCCCCAAATATCCACTTGCAGATTGTACAAAAAGACTGTTTCAAAACTGCTCAATCAAAAGAAAAGTTCAAATCTGTGAGATGAAAGCACACATCAGAAAGAAGTTTCTCAGAAAGTTTCTGCCTTGTATTTATGGGAAGATATTTCCTTTTTCACCATAGGTCTCAAAGCACTGGTAATATCCATTTCCAGATACTACAAAAAGACTTTTCCCAAACTGCTCAATCAAAAGAAAGTTTTAACTCTGTGAGATGAAAGCAAATATCACAAAGAAGTGTCTCAGAAATTTTCTATCTAGTTTTTATGTGAACATATTTCTTATCACCCCATAGACCTCAATCAGCTCACAAGTATCCTTCTGCAGATTGTAAAAAACTACTGTTTCCAAACCGCTCAATCACAGGAAAGGTTTAACTCTGTGAAATGAATGCATCCATCACAGAGAAGTTTCTCAGAATGCTTCCGTCTCGTTTTTATGTGAAGAAGATTCCTTTTCCACCATATTCCTCATGCGCTCCAAATAAACACTTGCAGATTCCGCTAAAAGAGTGTTTCAAAACTGCTCAATGAAAAGAAAGGTTCTAGTCGGTGAGATGTATGCACACATCACAAAGAAGTTTCTATGAATGCTTCTGTCTGATTTATATTGAAGATATTTCCTTTTTCACCGTAGGCCTTAGAGTGCTTAAAATATCCATTTGCAGATACTAGAAAAGACTGTTTCCAAACTGCTCAATCAAATTAAAGTTCAACTCAGTGAGATGAATGCACACATCACCAAGACGTTTCTGATAAAGATTCTGTCTCGTTTTTATGTGAAGATATTTCCTGTTTCCCCAGAGGCATCAATGGGCTCACAAATATTCCTTTGCATATTCTACAAAATGACTGTTTAGAAGGTGCTGAATCAAAAAAAAAGTTCAACAGTGTGAGATGAATGCGCCCATTCAACGGAAGTTTCTCAGAATTCTTCTATCTAGTTTTTATGTGAAGATATTTCCTTTTTCACTGTAGGCCACAAAGTGCTCCAAATATCCACTTGCAGACTCTACAAAACGAATGTATCCACACTGCTCAATCAAAAGAAAATTTCAACTGTGCGAGATGAATGCACACATCAAAATAAATTTCTCCAAAACTTCTGCCTACTTTTTATGGGAAGATATTTCGTTTTTCAACGTAGGCCAAAAGCACTCCAAATATCAATTTGCAGATTCTACAAAAAGACTGTTTCCAAACTGCTCAATCAAGAGAAAGTTTCAACCCGGTGAGTAGAAGTCACACACGACAAAATAGTTTCTCAGAAAGTAGCTGTCTAGTTTTTATGAGAAGAGATTTCCTTTTCCACCATAGGTGTCAAAGCTCTCCAAATAGCCATTTGCAGATACTGTAAAAAGACTGTTTCCAAACTGCTGAATCAAAAGAAAGGTTGAACTCCATGAGTTGAATGCACACGTCACAAAGAAGTTTCTCAGAATGCTTCTGACTAGTTTTTATGTGAAGACATTTTCTTTTCCACCATAGGCCTCAAAGTGCTAAAAATATACACTTGAAGATTCTACAAAAAGAGAGTTTCAAAACTGCTCAAACAAAAGAAAGTTTCAACTCTGTGACATGAGTGCACACATCACAAAGAAGTTTCTCAGAATGCTTCTGTCTAGTTTTAAGTAAAGATATTTCCTTTTCTACTATAGGCCACAAAGCGCTCCAAATATCAACTTGCAGATTCTGCAGAAAGGGTTTTTCAAAGCTGCTCAATCAAAAGAAAAGTTCAACTCTTTGAGATGAATGCACACATCAGGAAGTTCCTCAGAATGCTTCTATTTTTATGTGAAGATATATCCTTTTCTACCATAGACCACAAAACGCTCCAAATATCCCCTTGCAGTTTCTACTAAAATAGTGTTTCCAAACGGCTCAATCAAAAGAAAGTTTCAACTTTGTGAGATGAATGCACACATCACAAAGAAGTTTCTCAGAATGCTTCTGTCTAGTTTTTATGTGAAGATATTTCCTTTCCTACTATAGGCCTGAAAGTGCTCCAAATATCCGCTTGCAGATACTGCAAAAAGACTGTTTCCAAACTGCTCAATCAAAGGAAACGTCCAACTCTGTGAGTTGAATGCACGCATCTCAAAGAGATTACTTATAATGATTCTGTCTAGTTTTGATGTGAAGATATTTGCTTTTCCACCAGTGGCCTCAAACTCTCCAAATATCCACTTGCAGATTCTACAATAAGAGTGTTTCAAAACTGCTCATTCAAAAGAAAGGTTCAACACTGTGAGATGAATGCACACATCACAAAGCACTTTCTTAGAATGCTTCTGTCTAGCTTTTATGTGAAAATATTTCCTTTTTCACCATAGGCTGCAAAGCGCTCCAAATATCCCTTTCAGATTCTACAGAAAGAGTGTTTGAAAACTGTTCAATCAAAAGAGAAACTCAACTCTGGTGATGAATGCACACATCACAAAGCAGTTTCTCATAATGTTTCTGTCTAGTTTTAATGTGAAGATATTTCATTCTCCACTATAGGCCGTAATGCACTCCTAATATCCACTTGCAGATTCTACAAAAAGACTGTTTGCAAACTGCTCAAACAAAAGAAAAGTTCAACTCTGTGAGTTGAATGAGCACATCACAAAGAAGTTTCTCAGAATGCTTCTGTCTAGTTTTTATGTGAATATATTTCCTTTTCCACTATAGGCCGTCATGCGCTCCAAATATCCACGTGCAGATTCTACAAAAAGACTGTTTCCAAACTGCTCAATCAAAAGAAAAGCTCAACTCTGTGAGTTGAATGAGCACATCACAAAGAAGTTTCTCAGAATGCTTCTATCTAGTTTTTATGTGAATATATTTCCTTTTCCACCACAGGCCACAAACACTCCAAATATCCACTTGAAGATTCTACAAAAAGAGTGCTTCAAAAATGCTCAATCAAAAGAAAGGTTCAACTCTTTGAGATGGATGCACACATCACAAAGAAGCTTCTCAGAATGTTTCTGTCTAGTTTTTTTGTGAAGATATTTCCTTTTCCAACGTAGTCCTCAAGTCTCTCCAAATATCTACTTTCAGAATCTCCAAAAAGAGTGTTTTAAAACTGCTGTACCAAAGAAAGCTTCATGTCTGAGATATGACTGCATACAACACAGAGAACTTTCTCAAAGTGCTTCTTTTTATTTTTTTTATGAAGATATTTCCTTTTCCACTATGGGCCACAGAGCGCTCCAAATATCCACTTGCAGATTCTACAAAAAGAGTGTTTCAAAACTGCTCAATCAATAGAAAGTTTGAAGTCTGTGAGATGAATGCACACATCACAAGGGAGTTTCTGAGAATGCTTCCATCTGAATTTTATGTGAGGATATTTCCTTTTTCACCATAGGCCTCAGTACACTCCAAATATCCATTTACAGATAATACAAATGACTGTATCCAAACTGCTCAATCAAAAGAAAGTTCAACTGTGTATGATGAATGCACACATCACAAGGGTGTTTCTCAGAAAGATTTTGTCTAGTTTTTAGGTGAAGATATTTCTTATTTCCCCAGAGGCCTCAATGGGCTCTCAAATATTCCCTTTCATATTCTACTAAATGACTGTATCGAAGCTGCTCAATCAAAAGACGGGTTTAACAGTGTGAGACGAAAATACACCTTCCTAGGATGTTTCTCAGAATTCTTCTTTCTAGTTTTTTATGTGAAGATATTTCCTTTTCCACTATAGGCCTCAAAGCGTTCCAAATATCCACTTGCAGATACTACAAATAGAGCGTTTCAAAACTGCTCAATCAAAAGAAAGGTTCAACTCTGCGAGATGAATGCAGACATCAAAAAGAAGTTTCTCAGAATGCTTCTGCCTTGTTTTTATGTGAAGATATTTCCTTTTTCACCATAGGCCTCAAAGCACTGGCAATATCCATTTGCAGATACTACAAAAAGACTGTTCCCAAACTGCTCAATAAAAAGAAAGTTTCAACTCTATGAGATAAAAGCAAATATCACAAAGAAGTTTCTCAGAAACTTTCTATCTAGTTTTTATGTGAACATATTTCTTATCACCCCATAGACCTCAATCGGCTCACAAGTATCCTTCTGCAGACTGTAAAAAACTACTGTTTCCAAACCGCTCAATCACAGGAAAGGTTTAACTCTGTGAAATGAATGCATCCATCACAGAGAAGTTTCTCAGAATGCTTCCGTCCGTTTTCATGTGAAGAAGATTCCTTTTCCACCATATTCCTCATGCGCTCCAAAGAAACACTTGCAGATTCCGCTAAAAGAGTGTTTCAAAACTGCTCAATCAAAAGAAAGGTTCTAGTCAGTGAGATGAATGCACACATCACAAAGAAGTTTCTATGAATGCTTCTGTCTGATTTATATTGAAGATATTTCCTTTTTCACCGTAGGCCTCAGAGTGCTTAAAATATCCATTTGCAGATACTAGAAAACACTGTTTCCAAACTGCTCAATCAAAGTAAAGTTCAACTCAGTGAGATAAATGCACACATCACCAAGACGTTTCTGAGAAAGATTCTGTCTAGTTTTTATTTGAAGATATTTCCTATTTCCCCAGGAGGCATCAATGGGCTCACAAATATTCCTTTGCATATTCTACAAAATGACTGTTTAGAAGCTGCTCAATCAAGAAAAAAGTTCAACACTGTGAGATGAATGCACACATTCAAAGGAAGTTTCTCAGAATTCTTCTATCTAGTTTTTATGTGAAGATATTTCCTTTTTCACTATAGGCCACAAAGTGCTCCAAATATCCACTTGCAGACTCTACAAAACGAGTGTATCCACACTGCCCAATCAAAAGAAAATTTCAACTGTGTGAGATGAATGCACACATCAAAATAAATTTCTCCAAAACTTCTGCCTACTTTTTATGGGAAGATATTTCGTTTTTCAACGTAGGCCAAAAGCGCTCCAAATATCAATTTGCAGATTCTACAAAAAGACTGTTTCCAAACTGCTCAATCAAGAGAAAGTTTCTACCCGGTGAGTAGAAGTCACACATGACAAAATAGTTTCTCAGAAAGTATCTGTCTAGTTTTTACGTGAAGATATTTCCTATCACCCCAGAAGCCTCAATGGGCTCACAAATATTCCTTTGCAGATTCTACAAAACGACAGTTTCAAAACTGCTGAATCAAAAGAAAGGTTCAACTCTGGGAGATGAATGCACAGATCACAAATGAGTTTCTCAGAATGCTGCTGTCTACTTTTTATGGGAAGATATTTCCTTTTCCACCATAGGCCTCAAAGCTCTCCAAATAGCCATTTGCAGATACTGTAAAAAGACTGTTTCCAAACTGCTGAATCAAAAGAAAGGTTGAACTCCATGAGTTGAATGCACACGTCACAAAAATTTCCCAGAATGCTTCTGGCTAGTTTTTATGTGAAGATATTTTCTTTTCCACCATAAGCCTCAAAGCATTGAAAATATCCACTTGAAGATTCTACAAAAAGAGAGTTTCAAAACTGCTCAAACAAAAGAAAGATTCAACTCTGTGAGATGAATGCACACATCACAAAGAAGTTTCTCAGAATGCTTCTGTCTAGTTTTAAGTAAAGATATTTCCTTTTCTACTATAGGCCACAAAGCACTCCAAATATCAACTTGCAGATTCTGCAGAAAGAGTTTTTCAAAGCTGCTCAATCAAAAGAAAAGTTCAACTCTTTGAGATGAATGCACACATCATGAAGTTCCTCAGAATGCTTCTATTTTTATGTGAAGATATATCGTTTTCTACCATAGACCACAAAACTCTCCAAATATCCCCTTGCAGTTTCTACTAAAAGAGTGTTTCCAAACGGCTCAATCAAAAGAAAGTTTCAACTCTGTGAGATGAATGCACACATCATTAAGAAGTTTCTCAGTAATTTTGTGTCTAGTTTTTATGTGAAGATATTTCCTTTCCTACTATAGGCCTGAAAGTGCTCCAAATATCCGTTTGCAGATACTGCAAAAAGACTGTTTCCAAACTGCTCAATCAAAGGAAATGTCCAACTCTGTGAGTTGAATGCACGCATCTCAAAGAGATTACTTATAATGATTCTGTCTAGTTTTGATGTGAAGATATTTGCTTTTCCACCAGTGGCCTCAAACTCTCCAAATATCCACTTGCAGATTCTACAATAAGAGTGTTTCAAAACTGCTTAATCAAAAGAAAGGTTCAACACTGTGAGATGAATGCACACGTCACAAAGCACTTTCTTAGAATGCTTCTGTCTAGCTTTTATGTGAAGATATTTCCTTTTTCACCATAGGCTGCAAAGCGCTGCAAATATCCCTTTCAGATTCTACAGAAAGAGTGTTTCAAAACTGTTCAATCAAAAGAGAAACTCAACTCTGGTGATGAATGCACGCATCACAAAGCAGTTTCTCATAATGTTTCTGTCTAGTTTTTATGTGAAGATATTTCATTTTCCACTATAGGCCGTAAGGCACTCCTAATATCCACTTGCAGATTCTACAGAAAGACTGTTTGCAAACTGCTCAAACAAAAGAAAAGTTCAACTCTGTGAGTTGAATGAGCACATCACAAAGAAGTTTCTCAGAATGCTTCTGTCTAGTTTTTATGTGAATATATTTCCTTTTCCACTATAGGCCATAATGCGCTCCAAATATCCACCTGCAGATTCTACAAAAAGAGTGTTTCCAAACTGCTCAATCAAAAGAAAAGCTCAACTCTGTGAGTTGAATGAGCACATCACAAAGAAGTTTCTCAGAATGCTTCTATCTAGTTTTTATGTGAATATATTTCCTTTTCCACCACAGGCCACAAACCCTCCAAATATCCACTTGAAGATTCTACAAAAAGAGTGCTTCAAAAATGCTCAATCAAAAGAAAGGTTCAACTCTTCGAGATGGACGCACACATCACAAAGAAGCTTCTCAGAATGTTTCTGTCTAGTTTTTTTGTGAAGATATTTCCTTTTCCACCGTAGTCCTCAAGTCTCTCCAAATATCTACTTTCAGAATCTCCAAAAAGAGTGTTTCAAAACTGCTGTACCAAAGAAAGTTTCATGTCTGATTTTATGACTGCATACAACACAGAGAACTTTCTCAAAGTGCTTCTGTTTATTTTTTTTATGAAGATATTTCCTTTTCCACTATTGGCCACAGAGCGCTCCAAATATCCACTGGCAGATTCTACAAAAAGAGTGTTTCAACACTGCTCAATCTATAGAAAGTTTGAAGTCTGTGAGATGAATGCACACATCACAAAGGAGTTTCTAAGAATGCTTCCATCTGAATTTTATGTGAGGATATTTCCTTTTTCACCATAGGCCTCAGTACACTCCAAATATCCATTTACAGATAATACAAATGACTGTATCCAAACTGCTCAATCAAAAGAAAGTTCAACTGTGCATGATGAATGCACACATCACAAGGGTGTTTCTCAGAAAGATTTTGTCTAGTTTTTAGGTGAAGATATTTCTTATTTCCCCAGAGGCCTCAATGGGCTCTCAAGTATTCCCTTTCATATTCTACTAAATGAGTGTATCGAAGCTGCTCAATCAAAAGACGGGTTTAACAGTGTGAGACGAAAATACACCTTCCTAGGAAGTTTCTCAGAATTCTTCTTTCTAGTTTTTTATGTGAAGATATTTCCTTTTCCACTATAGGCCTCAAAGCGTTCCAAATATCCACTTGCAGATACTACAAATAGAGCGTTTCAAAACTGCTCAATCAAAAGAAAGGTTCAACTCTGTGAGATGAATGCAGACATCAAAAAGAAGTTTCTCAGAATGCTTCTGCCTTGTTTTTATGAGAAGATATTTCCTTTTTCACCATAGGCCTCAAAGCACTGGTAATATCCATTTGCAGATACTACAAAAAGACTGTTCCCAAACTGCTCAATAAAAAGAAAGTTTCAACTCTAGGAGATAAAAGCAAATATCACAAAGAAGTTTCTCAGAAACTTTCTATCTAGTTTTTATGTGAACATATTTCTTATCATCCCATAGACCTCAATCGGCTCACAAGTATCCTTCTGCAGACTGTAAAAAACTACTGTTTCCAAACCGCTCAATCACAGGAAAGGTTTAACTCTGTGAAATGAATGCATCCATCACAGAGAAGTTTCTCAGAATGCTTCCGTCTCGTTTTCATGTGAAGAAGATTCCTTTTCCACCATATTCCTCATGCGCTCCAAAGAAACACTTGCAGATTCCGCTAAAAGAGTGTTTCAAAACTGCTCAATCAAAAGAAAGGTTCTAGTCGGTGAGATGAATGCACACATCACAAAGAAGTTTCTATGAATGCTTCTGTCTGATTTATATTGAAGATATTTCCTTTTTCACCGTAGGCCTCAGAGTGCTTAAAATATCCATTTGCAGATACTAGAAAAGACACTTTCCAAACTGCTCAATCAAAATAAAGTTCAACTCAGTGAGATGAATGCAAACATGACCAAGACGTTTCTGAGAAAGATTCTGTCTCGTTTTTATGTGAAGATATTTCCTGTTTCCGCAGAGGCATCAATGGGCTCACAAATATTCCTTTGCATATTCTACAAAATGACTGTTTAGAAGGTGCTCAATCAAAAAAAAAGTTCAACAGTGTGAGATGAATGCGCCCATTCAAAGGAAGTTTCTCAGAATTCTTCTATCTAGTTTTTATGTGAAGATATTTCCTTTTTCACTATAGGCCACAAAGTGCTCCAAATATCCACTTGTAGACCCTACAAAACGAGTGTATCCACACTGCCCAATCAAAAGAAAATTTCAACTGTGTGAGATGAATGCACACATCTAAATAAATTTTTACAAAACTTCTATCTAGTTTTTATGTGAACATATTTCCTATCACCCCATAGACCTCAATCGGCTCACAAGTATCCTTCTGCAGACTGTAAAAAACTACTGTTTCCAAACTGCTCAATCAAGAGAAAGTTTCAACCCGGTGAGTAGAAGTCACACATGACAAAATAGTTTCTCAGGATGTATCTGTCTAGTTTTTATGTGAAGATATTTTCTTTTCCACCATAGGCCTCAAAGCTCTCCAAATATCCATTTGCAGATACTACAAAAAGACTGTTTCCAAACTGCTGAATCAAAGGAAAGGTTCAACTCCATGAGTTGAATGCACACATCACAAAGAAGTTTCTCAGAAAGCTTCTGACTAGTTTTTATGTGAAGATATTTTCTTTTCCACCATAGGCCTCAAAGCGCTGAAAATATCCACTTGAAGATTCTACAGAAAGAGAGTTTCAAAACTGGTCAAACAAAAGAATGATTCAACTCTGTGAGATGAATGCACACTTCACAAAGCACTTTCTTAGAATGCTTCTGTCTAGTTTTATGTAAAGATATTTCCTTTTCTACTCTAGGCCACAAAGCACTCCAAATATCAACTTGCAGATTCTGCAGAAAGAGTTTTTCAAAGCTGCTCAATCAAAAGAAAAGTTCAACACTTTGAGATGAATGCACACATCATGAAGTTCCTCAGAATGCTTCTATTTTTATGTGAAGATATATCCTTTTCTACCATAGACCACAAAACGCTCCAAATATCCCCTTGCAGTTTCTACTAAAAGAGTGTTTCCAAACGGCTCAATGGAAAGAAAGTTTCAACTCTGTGAGATGAATGCACACATCATTAAGGAGTTTCTCAGTAATTTTCTGTCTAGTTTTTATGTGAAGATATTTCCTTTCCTACTATAGGCCTGAAAGTGCTGCAAATATCCGTTTGCAGATACTGCAAAAAGACTGTTTCCACACTGCTCAATCAAAGGAAATGTCCAACTCTGTGAGTTGAATGCACGCATCTCAAAGAGATTACTTCTAATGATTCTGTCTAGTTTTTATGTGAAGATATTTGCTTTTCCACCAGTGGCCTCAAACTCTCCAAATATCCACTTGCAGATTGTACAATAAGAGTGTTTCAAAACTGCTCAATCAAAAGAAAGGTTTAACTTCTGTGAGATGAATGTACACCTCACAAAGCACTTTCTCAGAATGCTTTCTGTCTATCTTTTATGTGAAGATATTTCCTTTTTCACCATAGGCTGCAAAGCGCTCCAAATATCCCTTTCAGATTCTACAGAAAGAGTGTTTCAAAACTGTTCAATCAAAAGAGAAACTCAACTCTGGTGATGAATGCACGCATCACAAAGCAGTTTCTCATCATGTTTCTGTCTAGTTTTTATGTGAATATATTTCCTTTTCCACTAAAGGCCGTCATGCGCTCCAAATATCCACTTGCAGATTCTACAAAAAGACTGTTTCCAAACTGCTCAATCAAAAGAAAAGCTCAACTCTGTGAGTTGAATGAGCACATCACAAAGAAGTTTCTCAGAATGCTTCTGTCTAGTTTTCATGTGAATATATTTCCTTTTCCACTATAGGCCGTCATGCGCTCCAAATATCCACTGGCAGATTCTACAAAAAGACTGTTTCCAAACTGCTCAATCAAAAGAAAATCTCAACTCTGTGAGTTGAATGAGCACATCACAAAAAAGTTTCTCAGAATGCTTCTATCTAGTTTTTATGTGAATATATTTCCTTTTCCACCAGAGACCACAAACACTCCAAATAACCACTTGAAGATTCTACAAAAAAAGTGCTTCAAAAATGCTCAATCAAAAGAAAGGTTCAACTCTTCGAGATGGACGCACACATCACAAAGAAGCTTCTCAGAATGTTTCTGTCTAGTTTTTTTGTGAAGATATTTCCTTTTCCACCGTAGTCCTCAAGTCTCTCCAAATATCTACTTTCAGAATCTCCAAAAAGAGTGTTTTAAAACTGCTGTACCAAAGAAAGTTTCATGTCTGAGATATGACTGCATACAACACAGAGAACTTTCTCAAAGTGCTTCTGTTTATTTTTCTTATGAAGATATTTCCTTTTCCACTATGGGCCACAGAGCGCTCCAAATATCCACTTGCAGATTCTACAAAAAGAGTGTTTCAAACCTGCTCAATCAAAAGGAAGATTTTACTCTATGAGATGAATGGACACATCACAGAGAAGTTTCTCAATATGCTTCCATCTGAATTTTATGTGAGGATATTTCCTTTTTCACCATAGGCCTCAGTACACTCCAAATATCCATTTACAGATAATACAAATGACTGTATCCAAACTGCTCAATCAAAAGAAAGTTCAACTCTGTATGATGAATGCACACATCACAAGGGTGTTTCTCAGAAAGATTTTGTCTTGTTTTTAGGTGAAGATATTTCTTATTTCCCCAGAGGCCTCAATGGGCTTTCAAATATTCCCTTTCATATTCTACTAAATGACTGTATCGAAGCTGCTCAATCAAAAGACGGGTTTAACAGTGTGAGACGAAAATACACCTTCCTAGGAAGTTTCTCAGAATTCTTCTTTCTAGTTTTTTATGTGAAGATATTTCCTTTTCCACTATAGGCCTCAAAGCGTTCCAAATATCCACTTGCAGATACCACAAATAGAGCGTTTCAAAACTGCTCAATCAAAAGAAAGGTTCAACTCTGTGAGATGAATGCAGACATCAAAAAGAAGTTTCTCAGAATGCTTCCGCGTTGTTTTTATGTGAAGATATTTCCTTTTCCACCATAGGCCTCAAAGCACTGGTAATATCCATTTGCAGATACTACAAAAAGACTGTCCCCAAACTGCTCAATAAAAAGAAAGTTTCAACTCTAGGAGATAAAAGCAAATATCACAAAGAAGTTTCTCAGAAACTTTCTATCTAGTTTTTATGTGAACATATTTCTTATCACCCCATAGACCTCAATCGGCTCACAAGTATCCTTCTGCAGATTGTAAAAAACTACTCTTTCTCAACCGCTCAATCACAGGAAAGGTTTAACTCTGTGAAATGAATGCATCCATCACAGAGAAGTTTCTGAGAATGCTTCCGTCCGTTTTCATGTGAAGAAGATTCCTTTTCCACCATATTCCTCATGCGCTCCAAAGAAACACTTGCAGATTCCGCTAAAAGAGTGTTTCAAAACTGCTCAATCAAAAGAAAGGTTCTAGTCGGTGAGATGAATGCACACATCACAAAGAAGTTTCTATGAATGCTTCTGTCTGATTTGTATTGAAGATATTTCCTTTTTCACCGTAGGCCTCAGAGTGCTTAAAATATCCATTTGCAGATACTAGTAAAGACTGTTTCCAAACTGCTCAATCAAAGTAAAGTTCAACTCAGTGAGATGAATGCACACATCACCAAGACGTTTCTGAGAAAGATTCTGTCTCGTTTTTATGTGAAGATATTTCCTGTTTCCCCAGAGGCATCAATGGGCTCACAAATATTCCTTTGCATATTCTACAAAATGACTGTTTAGAAGGTGCTCAATCAAAAAAAAAGTTCAACAGTGTGAGATGAATGCGCCCATTCAAAGGCAGTTTCTCAGAATTCTTCTGTCTAGTTTTTATGTGAAGATATTTCCTTTTTCACTATAGGCCACAAAGTGCTCCAAATATCCACTTGCAGACTCTACAAAAAGAGTGTATCCACACTGCTCAATCAAAAGAAAATTTCAACTGTGTGAGATGAATGCACACATCACAAATAAATTTCTCCAAAACTTCTGCCTACTTTTTATGGGAAGATATTTCGTTTTTCAACATAGGCCAAATGCGCTCCAAATATCAATTTGCAGATTCTACAAAAAGACTGTTTCCAAACTGCTCAATCAAGAGAAAGTTTCAACTCGGTGAGTTGAAGTCACACATGACAAAATAGTTTCTCAGAAAGTATCTGTCTAGTTTTTACGTGAAGATATTTCCTATCACCCCAGAAGCCTCAATGGGCTCACAAATATTCCTTTGCAGATTCTACAAAAAGGCAGTTTCAAAACTGCTGAATCAAAAGAAAGGTTCAACTCTGGGAGATGAATGCACAGATCACAAATAAGTTCCTCAGAATGCTGCTGTCTAGTTTTTATGGGAAGATAATTCCTTTTCCACCATAGGCCTCAAAGCTCTACAAATAGCCATTTGCAGATACTGTAAAAAGACTGTTTCCAAACTGCTGAATCAAAAGAAAGGTTGAACTCCATGAGTTGAATGCACACGTCACAAAGAAGTTTCTCAGAATGCTTCTGTCTAGTTTTTATGTGACAATGTTTCCTTTTCTACCATAGGCCTCAAAGCTCTACAAATATCCACTTGAAGATACTGCAAAAAGTGTGTTTCAAAACTGCTCAATTAAAAGAATGGTTCAACTTCGTGAGATGAATGCACACATCAGAAAGAAATTTCTCAGAATGCTTCTGTCTAGTTTTATGTAAAGATATTTCCTTTTCTACTATAGGCCACAAAGCACTCCAAATATCAACTTGCAGATTCTGCAGAAAGAGTTTTTCAAAGCTGCTCAATCAAAAGAAAAGTTCAACTCTTTGAGATGAATGCACACATCAGGAAGTTCCTCAGAATGCTTCTATTTTTATGTGAAGATAACCTTTTCTACCATAGACCATAAAACGCTCCAAATATCCCCTTGCAGTTTCTACTAAAAGAGTGTTTCCAAACTGCTCAATCAAAGGAAAGTTTCAACTCTGTGAGATGAATGCACACATCATTAAGAAGTTTCTCAGTAATTTTCTGTCTAGTTTTTATTTGAAGATATTTCCTTTCCTACTATAGGCCTGAAAGTGCTCCAAATATCCATTTGCAGATACTGCAAAAAGACTGCTTCCAAACTGCTCAATCAAAGGAAAGGTCCAACTCTATGAGTTGAATGCACGCATCTCAAAGAGATTTCTCAGAATGGTTCTGTCTAGTTTTGATGTGAAGATATTTGCTTTTCCACCAGTGGCCTCAAACTCTGCAAATATCCACTTGCAGATTCTACAATAAGAGTGTTTCAAAACTGCTCAATCAAAAGAAAGGTTCAACACTGTGAGATGAATGCACACGTCACAATGCACTTTCTTAGAATGCTTCTGTCTAGCTTTTATGTGAAGATATTTCCTTTTTCACCATAGGCTGCAAAGCGCTCCAAATATCCCTTTCAGATTCTACAGAAAGAGTGTTTCAAAACTGTTCAATCAAAAGAGAAACTCAACTCTGGTGATGAATGCACGCATCACAAAGCAGTTTCTCATCATGTTTGTCTGTCTAGTTTTTATGTGAAGATATTTCCTTTTCCACTATAGGCCGTAATGCACTCCTAATATCCACTTGCAGATTCTACAGAAAGACTGTTTGCAAACTGCTCAAACAAAAGAAAAGTTCAACTCTGTGAGTTGAATGAGCACATCACAAAGAAGTTTCTCAGAATGCTTCTGTCTAGTTTTTATGTGAATATATTTCCTTTTCCACTATAGGCCGTAATGCGCTCCAAATATCCACTTGCAGTTTCTACAAAAAGACTGTTTCCAAACTGCTCAATCAAAAGAGAAGCTCAACTCTGTGAGTTGAATGAGCACATCAGAAAGAAGTTTCTCAGAATGCTTCTATCTAGTTTTTATGTGAATATATTTCCTTTTCCACCACAGGCCACAAACACTCCAAATATCCACTTGAAGATTCTACAAAAAGAGTGCTTCAAAAATGCTCAATCAAAAGAAAGGTTCCACTCTTTGAGATGGATGCACACATCACAAAGAAGCTTCTCAGAATGTTTCTGTCTAGTTTTTTTGTGAAGATATTTCCTTTTCCACCGTAGTCCTCAAGTCTCTCCAAATATCTACTTTCAGAATCTCCAAAAAGAGTGTTTTAAAACTCCTGTACCAAAGAAAGTTTCATGTCTGAGATATGACTGCATACAACACAGAGAAGTTTCTCAAAGTGCTTCTGTTTATTTTTTTTATGAAGATATTTCCTTTTCCACTATGGGCCACAGAGCGCTCCAAATATCCACTGGCAGATTCTACAAAAAGAGTGTTTCAAAACTGCTCAATCTATAGAAAGTTTGAAGTCTGTGAGATGAATGCACACATCACAAAGGAGTTTCTAAGAATGCTTCCATCTGAATTTTATGTGAGGATATTTCCTTTCTCACCATAGGCCTCAGTACACTCCAAACATCCATTTACAGATAATACAAATGACTGTATCCAAACTGCTCAATCAAAAGAAAGTTCAACTGTGTATGATGAATGCACACATCACAAGGGTGTTTCTCAGAAAGATTTTGTCTAGTTTTTAGGTGAAGATATTTCTTTTTTCCCCAGAGGCCTCAATGGGCTCTCAAATATTCCCTTTTATATTCTACTAAATGACTGTATCGAAGTTGCTCAATCAAAAGACGGGTTTAACAGTGTGAGACGAAAATACACCTTCCTAGGAAGTTTCTCAGAATTCTTCTTTCTAGTTTTTTATGTGAAGATATTTCCTTTTCGACAATAGGCCTCAAATCGTTCCAAATATCCACTTGCAGATACTACAAATAGAGCGTTTCAAAACTGCTCAATCAAAAGAAAGGTTCAACTCTGTGAGATGAATGCAGACATCACAAAGAAGTTTCTCAGAATGCTTCTGCCTTGTTTTTATGTGAAGATATTTCCTTTTTCACCACAGGCCTCAAAGAACTGGTAATATCCATTTGCAGATACTACAAAAAGACTGTTCCCAAACTGCTCAATAAAAAGAAAGTTTCAACTCTATGAGATAAAAGCAAATATCACAAAGAAGTTTCTCAGAAACTTTCTATCTAGTTTTTATGTGAACATATTTCTTATCACCCCATAGACCTCAATCGGCTCACAAGTATCCTTCTGCAGATTATAAACATCTACTGTTTCCAAACCGCTCAATCACAGGAAAGGTTTAACTCTGTGAAATGAATGCATCCATCACAGAGAAGTTTCTCAGAATGCTTCCGTCTCGTTTTTATGTGAAGAAGATTCCTTTTCCACCATATTCCTCATGCGCTCCAAATAAACACTTGCAGATTCCGCTAAAAGAGTGTTTCAAAACTGCTCAATCAAAAGAAAGGTTCTAGTCGGTGAGATGAATGCACACATCACAAAGAAGTTTCTATGAATGCTTCTGTCTGATTTATATTGAAGATATTTCCTTTTTCACCGTAGGCCTCAGAGTGCTTAAAATATCCATTTGCATATACTAGAAAAGACTGTTTCCAAACTGCTCAATCAAAGTAAAGTTCAACTCAGTGAGATGAATGCACACATCACCAAGACGTTTCTGAGAAAGATTCTGTCTCGTTTTTATGTGAAGATATTTCCTGTTTCCCCAGAGGCATCAATGGGCTCACAAATATTCCTTTGCATATTCTACAAAATGACTGTTTAGAAGGTGCTCAATGAAAAAAAAAGTTCAACAGTGTGAGATGAATGCGCCCATTCAAAGGAAGTTTCTCAGAATTCTTCTATCTAGTTTTTATGTGAAGATATTTCCTTTTTCACTATAGGCCACAAAGTGCTCCAAATATCCACTTGCAGACTCTACAAAACGAGTGTATCCACACTGCTCAATCAAAAGAAAATTTCAACTGTGTGAGATGAACGCACACATCAAAATAAATTTCTCCAAAACTTCTGCCTACTTTTTAGGGGAAGATATTTCGTTTTTCAACGTAGGCCAAAAGCACTCCAAATATCAATTTGCAGATTCTACAAAAAGACTGTTTCCAAACTGCTCAATCAAGAGAAAGTTTCAACCCGGTGAGTAGAAGTCACACATGACAAAATAGTTTCTCAGGAAGTATCTGTCTAGTTTTTATGTGAAGATATTTCCTATCACCCCAGAAGCCTCAATGGGCTCACAAATATTCCTTTGCAGATTCTACAAAACGACAGTTTCAAAACTGCTGAATCAAAAGAAAGGTTCAACACTGTGAGATGAATGCACAGATCACAAATAAGTTTCTCACAATGCTGCTGTCTAGTTTTTATGGGAAGAGATTTCCTTTTCCACCATAGGCCTCAAAGCTCTCCAAATATCCATTTGCAGATACTGTGAAAAGTCTGTTTCCAAACTGCTGAATCAAAAGAAATGTTGAACTCCATGAGTTGAATGCACACGTCACAAAGAAGTTTCTCAGAATGCTTCTGACTAGTTTTTATGTGAAGATATTTTCTTTTCCACCATAGGCCTCAAAGCGCTGAAAATATTCACTTGAAGATTCTACAGAAAGAGAGTTTCAAAACTGCTCAAACAAAAGAAAGATTCAACTCTGTGAGATGAATGCACACATCACAAAGAAGTTTCTCAGAATGCTTCTGTCTAGTTTTATGTAAAGATATTTCCTTTTCTACTATAGGCCACAAAGCATTCCAAATATCAACTTGCAGATTCTGCAGAAAGAGTTTTTCAAAGCTGCTCAATCAAAAGAAAAGTTCAACTCTTTGAGATGAATGCACACATCATGAAGTTCCTCAGAATGCTTCTATTTTTATGTGAAGATATATCCTTTTCTACCATAGACCACAAAACGCTCCAAATATCCCCTTGCAGTTTCTACTAAAAGAGTGTTTCCAAACGGCTCAATCAAAAGAAAGTTTCAACTCTGTGAGATGAATGCACACAACATTAAGTAGTGTCTCAGTAATTTGCTGTCTAGTTTTTATGTGAAGATATTTCCTTTCCTACTATAGGCCTGAAAGTGCTCCAAATATCCGTTTGCAGATACTGCATAAAGACTGTTTCCAAACTGCTCAATCAAAGGAAATGTCCAACTCTGTGAGTTGAATGCACGCATCTCAAAGAGATTACTTATAATGATTCTGTCTAGTTTTGATGTGAAGATATTTGCTTTTCCACCAGTGACCTCAAACTCTCCAAATATCCACTTGCAGATTCTACAATAAGAGTGTTTCAAAACTGCTCAATCAAAAGAAAGCTTCAACACTGTGAGATGAATGCACACGTCACAAAGCACTTTCTTAGAATGCTTCTGTCTAGCTTTTATGTGAAGATATTTCCTTTTTCACCATAGGCTGCAAAGCGCTCCAAATATCCCTTTCAGATTCTACAGAAAGAGTGTTTGAAAACTGTTCAATCAAAAGAGAAACTCAACTCTGGTGATGAATGCACACATCACAAAGCAGTTTCTCATAATGTTTCTGTCTAGTTTTTATGTGAAGATATTTCATTCTCCACTATAGGCCATAATGCACTCCTAATATCCACTTGCAGATTCTACAAAAAGACTGTTTGCAAACTGCTCAAACAAAAGAAAAGTTCAACTCTGTGAGTTGAATGAGCACATCACAAAGAAGTTTCTCAGAATGCTTCTGTCTAGTTTTTATGTGAATATATTTCCTTTTCCACTATAGGCCGTAATGCGCTCCAAATATCCACTTGCAGATTCTACAAAAAGACTGTTTCCCAACTGCTCAATCAAAAGAAAAGCTCAACTCTGTGAGTTGAATGAGCACATCACAAAGAAGTTTCTCAGAATGCTTCTATCTAGTTTTTATGTGAATATATTTCCTTTTCCACCACAGGCCACAAACTCTCCAAATATCCACTTGAAGATTCTACAAAAAGAGTGCTTCAAAAATGCTCAATCAAAAGAAAGGTTCAACTCTTTGAGATGGATGCACATATCAAAAAGACGCTTCTCAGAATGTTTCTGTCTAGTTTTTTTGTGAAGATATTTCCTTTTCCACCGTAGTCCTCAAGTCTCTCCAAATATCTACTTTCAGAATCTCCAAAAAGAGTGTTTTAAAACTGCTGTACCAAAGAAAGTTTCATGTCTGAGATATGACTGCATACAACCCAGAGAAAGTTCTCAAAGTGCTTCTGTTTATTTTTTTTATGAAGATATTTCCTTTTCCACTATGGGCCACAGAGCGCTCCAAGTATCCACTGGCAGATTCTACAAAAAGAGTGTTTCAAAACTGCTCAATCAATAGAAAGTTTGAAGTCTGTGAGATGAGTGCACACATCACAAAGGAGTTTCTAAGAATGCTTCCATCTGAATTTTATGTGAGGATACTTCCTTTTTCACCATAGGCCTCAGTACACTCCAAATATCCATTTACAGATAATACAAATGACTGTATCCAAACTGCTCAATCAAAAGAAAGTTCAACTGTGTATGATGAATGCACACATCACAAGGGTGTTTCTCAGAAAGATTTTGTCTAGTTTTTAGGTGAAGATATGTCTTATTTCCCCAGAGGCCTCAATGGGCTCTCAAATATTCCCTTTCATATTCTACTAAATGACTGTATCGAAGCTGCTCAATCAAAAGACGGGTTTAACAGTGTGAGACGAAAATACACCTTCCTAGGAAGTTTCTCAGAATTCTTCTTTCTAGTTTTTTATGTGAAGATATTTCCTTTTCCACTATAGGCCTCAAAGCGTTCCAAATATCCAATTGCAGATACTACAAATAGAGCGTTTCAAAACTGCTCAATCAAAAGAAAGGTTCAACTCTGTGAGATGAATGCAGACATCAAAAAGAAGTTTCTCAGAATGCTTCTGCCTTGTTTTTATGTGAAGATATTTCCTTTTCCACCATAGGCCTCAAAGCACTGGTAATATCCATTTGTAGATACTACAAAAAGACTGTTCCCAAACTTCTCAATAAAAAGAAAGTTTCAACTCTAGGAGATAAAAGCAAATATCACAAAGAAGTTTCTCAGAAACTTTCTATCTAGTTTTTATGTGAACATATTTCTTATCACCCCATAGACCTCAATCGGCTCACAAGTATCCTTCTGCAGATTGTAAAAAACTACTGTTTCCAAACCGCTCAATCACAGGAAAGGTTTAACTCTGTGAAATGAATGCATCCATCACAGAGAAGTTTCTAAGAATGCTTCCGTCTCGTTTTTATGTGAAGAAGATTCCTTTTCCACCATATTCCTCATGCGCTCCAAATAAACACTTGCAGATTCCGCTAAAAGAGTGTTTCAAAACTGCTCAATCAAAAGAAAGGTTCTAGTCGGTGAGATGAATGTACACATCCCAAAGAAGTTTCTATGAATGCTTCTGTCTGGTTTATATTGAAGATATTTCCTTTTTCACCGTAGGCCTCAGAGTGCTTAAAATATCCATTTGCAGATACTAGAAAAGACTGTTTCCAAACTGCTCAATCAAAATAAAGTTCAACTCAGTGAGATGAATGCACACATCACCAAGACGTTTCTGAGAAAGATTCTGTCTAGTTTTTATTTGAAGATATTTCCTATTTCCCCAGAGGCATCAATGGGCTCAAAAATATTCCTTTGCATATTCTACAAAATGACTGTTTAGAAGCTGCTCAATCAAAAAAAGGTTCAACACTGTGAGATAAATGCGCACATTCAAAGGAAGTTTCTCAGAATTCTTCTGTCTAGTTTTTATGTGAAGATATTTCCTTTTTCACTATAGGCCACAAAGTGCTCCAAATATCCACTTGCAGACTCTACAAAACGAGTGTATCCACACTGCTCAATCAAAAGAAAATTTCAACTGTGTGAGATGAATGCACACATCAAAATAAATTTCTCCAAAACTTCTGTCTAGTTTTTATGTGAAGATATTTCCTATCACCCCAGGAAGCCTCAATGGGCTCACAAATATTCCTTTGCAGATTCTACAAAACGACAGTTTCAAAACTGCTGAATCAAAAGAAAGGTTCAACTCTGTGAGATGAATGCACAGATCACAAATAAGTTTCTCAGAATGCTGCTGTCTAGTTTTTATGGGAAGAGATTTCCTTTTACACCATAGGCCTCAAAGCTCTCCAAATAGCCATTTGCAGATACTGTAAAAAGACTGTTTCCAAACTGCTGAATCAAAAGAAAGGTTGAACTCCATGAGTTGAATGCACACGTCACAAAGAAGTTTCTCAGAATGCTTCTGACTAGTTTTTATGTGAAGATAATTTCTTTTCCACCATAGGCCTCAAAGCGCTGAAAATATCCACTTGAAGATTCTACAGAAAGAGTTTCAAAACTGCTCAAACAAAAGAAAGATTCAACTCTGTGAGATGAATGCACACATCACAAAGAAGTTTCTCAGAATGCTTCTGTCTAGTTTTATGTAAAGATATTTCCTTTTCTACTATAGGCCACAAAGCACTCCAAATATCAACTTGCAGATTCTGCAGAAAGAGTTTTTCAAAGCTGCTCAGTCAAAAGACAAGTTAAACTCTTTGAGATGAATGCACACATCATGAAGTTCCTCAGAATGCTTCTATTTTTATGTGAAGATATAGCCTTTTCTACCATAGACCACAAAACGCTCCAAATATCCCCTTGCAGTTTCTACTAAAAGAGTGTTTCCAAACTGCTCAATCAAAAGAAGTTTCAACTCTGTGAGATGAATGCACATATCATTAAGAAGTTTCTCAGTAATTTCCTGTCTAGTTTTTATGTGAAGATATTTCCTTTCCTACTATAGGCCTGAAAGTGCTCCAAATATCCGTTTGCAGATACTGCAAAAAGACTGTTTCCACACTGCTCAATCAAAGGAAATGTCCAACTCTGTGAGTTGAATGCACGCATCTCAAAGAGATTACTTATAATGATTCTGTCTAGTTTTGATGTGAAGATATTTGCTTTTCCACCAGTGGCCTCAAACTCTGCAAATATCCACTTGCAGATTCTACAATAAGAGTGTTTCAAAACTGCTCAATCAAAAGAAAGGTTCAACACTGTGAGATGAATGCACACGTCATAATGCACTTTCTTAGAATGCTTCTGTCTAGCTTTTATTTGAAGATATTTCCTTTTTCACCATAGGCTGCAAAGCGCTCCAAATATCCCTTTCAGATTCTACAGAGAGAGTGTTTCAAAACTGTTCAATCAAAAGAGAAATTCAACTCTGGTGATGAATGCACGCATCACAGAGCAGTTTCTCATAATGTTTCTGTCTATTTTTTATGTGAAGTTATTTCATTTTCCACTATAGGCCGTAATGCACTCCTAATATCCACTTGCAGATTCTACAAAAAGACTGTTTGCAAACTGCTCAAACAAAAGAAAAGTTCAACTCTGTGAGTTGAATGAGCACATCATAAAAAGTTTCTCAGAATGCTTCTGTCTAGTTTTTATGTGAATATATTTCCTTTTCCACTATAGGCCGTCATGCGCTCCAAATATCCACTTGCAGATTCTACAAAAAGACTGATTCCAAACTGCTCAATCAAAAGAAAAGCTCAACTCTGTGAATTGAATGAGCACATCACAAAGAAGTTTCTCAGAATGCTTCTATCTAGTTTTTATGTGAATATATTTCCTTTTCCACCACAGGCCACAAACCCTCCAAATATCCACTTGAAGATTCTACAAAAAGAGTGCTTCAAAAATACTCAATCAAAAGAAAGGTTCAACTCTTCGAGATGGACGCACACATCACAAAGAAGCTTCTCAGAATGTTTCTGTCTAGTATTTTTGTGAAGATATTTCCTTTTCCACCGTAGTCCTCAAGTCTCTCCAATTATCTACTTTCAGAATCTCCAAAAAGAGTGTTTTAAAACTGCTGTACCAAAGAAAGTTTCATGTCTGAGATATGACTGCATACAACACAGAGAAGTTTCTCAAAGTGCTTCTGTTTATTTTTTTTATGAAGATATTTCCTTTTCCACTATGGGCCACAGAGCGCTCCAAATATCCACTTGCAGATTCTACAAAAAGAGTGTTTCAAAACTGCTCAATCAATAGAAAGTTTGAAGTCTGTGAGATGAGTGCACACATCACAAGGGAGTTTCTGAGAATGCTTCCATGTGATTTTTATGTGAAGAAATTTCGTTTTTCACCACAGGCCTCAATACACTCCAAATATCCATTTACAGATAATACAAATGACTGTTTCCAAACTGCCCAATCAAAAGGAAGTTCAACTCTGTGTGACGAATGCACATATCACAAGGAAGTTTCTCAGAAAGTTTGTGTCTAGTTTTTAGGTGAAGATACTTCCTATTTCCCTAGAGGCCGCAATGGGCTCTCAAATATTCTCTTTCAGATTTTACTAAACGACTATATCGGAGCTGCTCAATCAAAAGAAAGGTTCAACAGTGTGAGATGAAAGCACACATTCCTAGGAAGTTTCTCAGAATTCTTCTTTCTAGGTTTTTATGTGAAGATATTTCCTTTTCCACTATAGGCCTCAAAGCGTTCCAAATATCCACTTGCAGATACTACAAATAGAGCGTTTCAAAACTGCACAATCAAAAGAAAGGTTCAACTCTGTGAGATGAATGCAGACATCAAAAAGAAGTTTCTCAGAATGCTTCTGCCTTGTTTTTATGTGAAGATATTTCCTTTTTCACCATAGGCCTCAAAGCACTGGTAATATCCATTTGCAGGTACTACAAAAAGACTGTTCCCAAACAGCTCAATAAAAAGAAAGTTTCAACTCTATGAGATGAAAGCAAATATCACAAAGAAGTTTCTCGGAAACTTTCTATCTATTTTTTATGTGAACATATTTCTTATCACCCCATAGACCTCAATCGGCTCACAAGTATCCTTCTGCAGATTGTAAAAAACTACTGTTTCCAAACCGCTCAATCACAGGAAAGGTTTAACTCTGTGAAATGAATGCATCCATCACAGAGAAGTTTCTCAGAATGCTTCCATCTCGTTTCTATGTGAAGAAGATTCCTTTTCCACCATATTCCTCATGCGCTCCAAATAAACACTTGCAGATTCCGCTAAAAGAGTGTTTCAAAACTGCTCAATCAAAAGAAAGGTTCTAGTCGGTGAGATGAATGCACACATCACAAAGAAGTTTCTATGAATCCTTCTGTCTGATTTATATTGAAGATATTTCCTTTTTCACCGTAGGCCTCAGAGTGCTTAAAATATCCATTTGCAGATACTAGAAAAGACTGTTTCCAAACTGCTCAATCAAAATAAAGTTCAACTCAGTGAGATGAATGCTCACATCACCAAGACGTTTCTGAGAAAGATTCTGTCTCGTTTTTATGTGAAGATATTTCCTGTTTCCGCAGAGGCATCAATGGGCTCACAAATATTCCTTTGCATATTCTACAAAATGACTGTTTAGAAGGTGCTCAATCAAAAAAAAAAGTTCAACAGTGTGAGATGAATGCGCCCATTCAAAGGAAGTTTCTCAGAATTCTTCTATCTAGTTTTTATGTGAAGATATTTCCTTTTTCACTATAGGCCACAAAGTGCTCCAAATATCCACTTGCAGACTCTGCAAAACGAGTGTATCCACACTGCTCAATCAAAAGAAAATTTCAACTGTGTGAGATGAATGCACACATCAAAATAAATTTCTCCAAAACTTCTGCCTACTTTTTATGGGAAGATATTTCGTTTTTCAATGTAGGCCAAAAGCACTCCAAATATCAATTTGCAGATTCTACAAAAAGACTGTTTCCAAACTGCTCAATCAACAGAAAGTTTCAACCCGGTGAGTAGAAGACACACATGACAAAATAGTTTCTCAGAAAGTATCTGTCTAGTTTTTATGTGAAGATATTTCCTATCACCCCAGAAGCCTCAATGGGCTCACAAATATTCCTTTGCAGATTCTACAAAACGACAGTTTCAAAACTGCTGAATCAAGAGAAAGGTTCAACTCTGTGAGATGAATGCGCAGATCACAAATAAGTTTCTCAGAATGCTGCTGTCTAGTTTTTATGGGAAGATATTTCCTTTTCCACCATAGGCCTCAAAGCTCTCCAAATATCCATCTGCAGATACTGTAAAAAGACTGTTTCCAAACTGCTGAATCAAAAGAAAGGTTGAACTCCATGAGTTGAATGCACACGTCACAAAGAAGTTTCTCAGAATGCTTCTGACTAGTTTTTATGTGAAGATATTTTCTTTTCCACCATAGTCCTCAAAGCACTAAAAATATCCACTTGAAGATTCTACAGAAAGAGAGTTTCAAAACTGCTCAAACAAAAGAAAGATTCAACTCTGTGAGATGAATGCACACATCACAAAGAAGTTTCTCAGAATGCTTCTGTCTAGTTTTAAGTAAAGATATTTCCTTTTCTACTATAGGCCACAAAGCACTCCAAATATCAACTTGCAGATTCTGCAGAAAGAGTTTTTCAAAGCTACTCAATCAAAAGAAAAGTTCAACTCTTTGAGATGAATGCACACATCATGAAGTTCCTCAAAATGCTTCTATTTTTATGTGAAGATATAGCCTTTTCTACCATAGACCACAAAATGCTCCAAATATCCCCTTGCAGTTTCTACTAAAAGAGTGTTTCCAAACTGCTCAATCAAAAGAAAGTTTCAACTCTGTGAGATGAATGCACACATCATTAAGAAGTTTCTCAGTAATTTTCTGTCTAGTTTTTATGTGAAGATATTTAATTTCCTACTATAGGCCTGAAAGTGCTCCAAATATCCGTTTGCAGATACTGCAAAAAGACTGTTTCCAAACTGCTCAATCAAAGGAAATGTCCAACTCTGTGAGTTGAATGCACGCATCTCAAAGAGATTACTTATAATGATTCTGTCTAGTTTTGATGTGAAGATATTTGCTTTTCCACCAGTGGCCTCAAACTCTCCAAATATCCACTTGCAGATTCTACAATAAGAGTGTTTCAAAACTGCTCAATCAAAAGAAAGGTTCAACACTGTGAGGTGAATGCACACGTCACAAAGCACTTTCTTAGAATGCTTCTGTCTAGCTTTTATGTGAAGATATTTCCTTTTTCACCATAGGCTGCAAAGCGCTCCAAATATCCCTTTCAGATTCTACAGAAAGAGTGTTTCAAAACTGTTCAATCAAAAGAGAAACTCAACACTGGTGATGAATGCACGCATCACAAAGCAGTTTCTCATAATGTTTTTGTCTGGTTTTTATGTGAAGATATTTCATTTTCCACTATAGGCCGTAATGCACTCCTAATATCCACTTGCAGATTCTACAGAAAGACTGTTTGCAAACTGCTCAAACAAAAGAAAAGTTCAACTCTGTGAGTTGAATGAGCACATCACAAAGAAGTTTCTCAGAATGCTTCTGTCTAGTTTTTATGTGAATATATTTCCTTTTCCACTATAGGCCGTAATGCGCTCCAAATATCCACTTGCAGTTTCTACAAAAAGACTGTTTCCAAACTGCTCAATCAAAAGAAAAGCTCAACTCTGTGAGTTGAATGAGCACATCAGAAAGAAGTTTCTCAGAATGCTTCTATCTAGTTTTTATGTGAATATATTTCCTTTTCCACCTCAGGCCACAAACACTCCAAATATCCACTTGAAGATTCTACAAAAAGAGTGCTTCAAAAATGGTCAATCAAAAGAAAGGTTCAACTCTTTGAGATGGATGCACACATCACAAAGAAGCTTCTCAGAATGTTTCTGTCTAGTTTTTGTGTGAAGATATTTCCTTTTCCACCATAGTCCTCATGTCTCTCAAATATCTACTTTCAGAATCTCCAAAAAGAGTGTTTTAAAACTGCTGTATCAAAGAAAGTTTCATGTCTGAGATATGACTGCATACAGCACAGAGAAGTTTCTCAAAGTGCTTCTGTTTATTTTTTTTATGAAGATATTTCCTTTTCCACTATGGGCCACAGAGCGCTCCAAATATCGACTTGCAGATTCTACAAAAAGAGTGTTTCAAAACTGCTCAATCAATAGAAAGTTTGAAGTCTGTGAGATGAATGCACACATCACAAAGGAGTTTCTAAGAATGCTTCCATCTGAATTTTATGTGAGGATATTTCCTTTTTCACCATAGGCCTCAATACACTCCAAATATCCATTTACAGATAATACAAATGACTGTATCCAAACTGCTCAATCAAAAGAATGTTCAACTGTGTATGATGAATGCACACATCAGAAGGGTGTTTCTCAGAAAGTTTTTGTCTAGCTTTTAGGTGAAGATATTTCTTATTTCCCCAGAGGCCTCAATGGGCTCTCAAATATTCCCTTTCATATTCTCCTAAATGACTGTATCGAAGCTGCTCAATCAAAAGACGGGTTTAACAGTGTGAGACGAAAATACACCTTCCTCGGAAGTTTCTCAGAATTCTTCTTTCTAGGTTTTTATGTGAAGATATTTCCTTTTCCACTATAGGCCTCAAAGCGTTCCAAATATCCACTTGCAGATCCTACAAATAGAGCCTTTCAAAACTGCTCAATCAAAAGAAAGGTTCAACTCTGTGAGATGAATGCAGACATCAAAAAGAAGTTTCTCAGAATGCTTCCGCCTTGTTTTTATGTGAAGATATTTCCTTTTTCACCATACGCCTCAAAGCACTGGTAATATCCATTTGCAGATACTACAAAAAGACTGTTCCCAAACTGCTCAATAAAAAGAAATTTTCAACTCTATGAGATAAAAGCTAATATCACAAAGCAGTTTCTCAGAAACTTTCTATCTAGTTTTTATGTGAACATATTTCTTATCACCCCATAGACCTCAATCGGCTCACAAGTATCCTTCTGCAGATTGTAAAAAACTACTGTTTCCAAACCGCTCAATCACAGGAAAGGTTTAACTCTGTGAAATGAATGCATCCATCACGGAGAAGTTTCTTAGAATGTTTCCGTCTCGTTTTCAAGTGAAGAAGATTCCTTTTCCACCATATTCCTCATGCGCTCCAAATAAACACTTGCAGATTCCGCTAAAAGAGTGTTTCAAAACTGCTCAATGAAAAGAAAGGTTCTAGTCGGTGAGATGAATGCACACATCACAAAGAAGTTTCTATGAATGCTTCTGTCTGATTTATATTGAAGATATTTCCTTTTTCACCGTAGGCCTCAGAGTGCTTAAAATATACATTTGCAGATACTAGAAAAGACTGTTTCCAAACTGCTCAATCAAAATAAAGTTCAACTCAGTGAGATGAATGCACACATCACCAAGACGTTTCTGAGAAAGATTCTGTCTCGTTTTTATGTGAAGATATTTCCTGTTTCCCCAGAGGCATCAATGGGCTCACAAATATTCCTTTGCAGATTCTACAAAATGACTCTTTAGAAGGTGCTCAATCAAAAAAAAAGTTCAACAGTGTGAGATGAATGCACCCATTCAAAGGAAGTTTCTCAGAATTCTTCTATCTAGTTTTTATGTGAAGATATTTCCTTTTTCACTATAGGCCAGAAAGTGCTCCAAATATCCACTTGCAGACTCTACAAAACGAGTGTATCCACACTGCTCAATCAAAAGAAAATTTCAACTGTGTGAGATGAATGCACACATCAAAATAAATTTCTCCAAAACTTCTGCCTAGTTTTTATGGAAAGATACTTCATTTTTCAACATAGGCCAAAAGTGCTCCAAATATTCATTTGCAGATTCTACAAAAAGACTGTTCCCAAACTGCTCAATCAAGAGAAAGTTTCAACCCGGTGAGTTGAAGTCACACATGACAAAATAGTTTCTCAGAAAGTATCTGTCTAGTTGTTATGTGAAGATATTTCCTATCTCCCCAGAAGCCTCAATGGGCTCACAAATATCCCTTTGCAGATTCTACAAAACGACAGTTTCAAAACTGCTGAATCAAAAGAAAGGTTCAACTCTGTGAGATGAATGCACAGATCACAAATAAGTTTCTCAGAATGCTGCTGTCTAGTTTTTATGGGAAGAGATTTCCTTTTCCACCATAGGCCTCAAAGCTCTCCAAATAGCCATTTGCAGATACTGTAAAAAGACTGTTTCCAAACTGCTGAATGAAAAGAAAGGTTGAACTCCATGAGTTGAATGCACACGTCACAAAGAAGTTTCTCAGAATGCTTCTGACTAGTTTTTATGTGAAGATATTTTCTTTTCCACCGTAGGCCTCAAAGCGCTGAAAATATCCACTTGAAGATTCTACAAAAAGAGAGTTTCAAAACTGCTCAAACAAAAGAAAGATTCAACTCTGTGAGATGAATGCACACATCACAAAGAAGTTTCTCAGAATGCTTCTGTCTAGTTTTATGTAAAGATATTTCCTTTTCTACTATAGGCCACAAAGCTTTCCAAATATCAACTTGCAGATTCTGCAGAAAGAGTTTTTCAAAGCTGCTCAATCAAAAGAAAAGTTCAACTCTTTGAGATGAATGCACACATCAGGAAGTTCCTCAGAATGCTTCTATTTTTATGTGAAGATAACCTTTTCTACCATAGACCATAAAACCCTCCAAATATCCCCTTGCACTTTCTACTAAAAGAGTGTTTCCAAACTGCTCAATCACAGGAAAGTTTCAACTCTGTGAGATGAATGCACACATCATTACGAAGTTTCTCAGTAATTTTCTGTCTAGTTTTTATGTGAAGATATTTCCTTTCCTACTATAGGCCTGAAAGTGCTCCAAATATCCGCTTGCAGATACCGCAAAAAGACTGTTTCCAAACTGCTCAATCAAAGGAAACGTCCAACTCTGTGAGTTGAATGCACGCATCTCAAAGAGATTACTTATAATGATTCTGTCTAGTTTTGATGTGAAGATATTTGCTTTTCCACCAGTGGCCTCAAACTCTCCAAATATCCACTTGCAGATTCTACAATAAGAGTGTTTCAAAACTGCTCAATCAAAAGAAAGGTTCAACACTGTCAGATGAATGCACGCGTCACAAAGCACTTTCTTAGAATGCTTCTGTCTAGCTTTTATGGGAAGATGTTTCCTTTTACACCATAGGCTGCAAAGCGCTCCAAATATCCCTTTCAGATTCTACAGAAAGAGTGTTTCAAAACTGTTCAATCAAAAGAGAAACTCAACTCTGGTGATGAATGCACGCATCACAAAGCAGTTTCTCATAATGTTTCTGTCTAGTTTTTATGTGAAGATATTTCATTTTCCACTATAGGCCGTAATGCACTCCTAATATCCACTTGCAGATTCTACAGAAAGACTGTTTCCAAACTGCTCAATCAAAAGAAAAGCTCAACTCTGTGAGTTGAATGAGCACATCACAAAGAAGTTTCTCAGAATGCTTCTGTCTAGTTTTTATGTGAATATATTTCCTTTTCCACTATAGGCCGTAATGCGCTCCAAATATCCACTTGCAGATTCTACAGAAAGACTGTTTCCAAACTGCTCAATCAAAAGAAAAGCTCAACTCTGTGAGTTGAATGAGCACATCACAAAGAAGTTTCTCAGAATGCTTCTATCTAGTTTTTATGTGAATATATTTGCTTTTCCACCACAGGCCACAAACCCTCCAAATATCCACTTGAAGATTCTACAAAAAGAGTGCCTCAAAAATGCGCAATCAAAACAAAGGTTCAACTCTTCGAGATGGACGCACACAACACAAAGAAGCTTCTCAGAATGTTTCTGTCTAGTTTTCTTGTGAAGATATTTCCTTTTCCACCGTAGTCCTCAAGTCTCTCCAAATATCTACTTTCAGAATCTCCAAAAAGAGTGTTTTAAAACTCCTGTACCAAAGAAAGTTTCATGTCTGAGATATGACTGCATACAACACAGAGAAGTTTCTCAAAGTGCTTCTGTTTATTTTTCTTATGAAGATATTTCCTTTTCCACTATGGGCCACAGAGTGCTCCAAATATCCACTGGCAGATTCTACAAAAAGGGTGTTTCAAAACTGCTCAATCAATAGAAAGTTTGAAGTCTGTGAGATGAATGTACACATCACAAAGGAGTTTCTAAGAATGCTTCCATCTGAATTTTATGTGAGGATATTTCCTTTTTCACCATAGGCCTCAGTACACTCCAAATATCCATTTACAGATAATACAAATGACTGTATCCAAACTGCTCAATCAAAAGAAAGTTCAACTGTGTATGATGAAGGCACACATCACAAGGCTGTTTCTCAGAAAGATTTTGTCTAGTTTTTAGGTGAAGATATTTCTTATTTCCCCAGAGGCCTCAATGGGCTCTCAAATATTCCCTTTCATATTCTACTAAATGACTGTATCGAAGCTGCTCAATCAAAAGACGGGTTTAACAGTGTGAGACGAAAACACACCTTCCTAGGAAGTTTCTCAGAATTCTTCTTTCTAGTTTTTTATGTGAAGATATTTCCTTTTCCACTATAGGCCTCAAAGCGTTCCAAATATCCACTTGCAGATACTACAAATAGAGCGTTTCAAAACTGCTCAATCAAAAGAAAGGTTCAACTCTGTGAGATGAATGCATACATCAAAAAGAAGTTTCTCAGAATGCTTCCGCCTTGTTTTTATGTGAAGATATTTCCTTTTCCACCATAGGCCTCAAAGCACTGGTAATATCCATTTGCAGATACTACAAAAAGACTGTCCCCAAACTGCTCAATAAAAAGAAAGTTTCAACTCTAGGAGATAAAAGCAAATATCACAAAGAAGTTTCTCAGAAACTTTCTATCTAGTTTTTATGTGAACATATTTCTTATCACCCCATAGACCTCAATGGCTCACAAGTATCCTTCTGCAGATTATAAAAAACGACTGTTTCCAAACCACTCAATCACAGGAAAGGTTCCACTCTGTGAAATGAATGCACCCATCACAGAGAAGTTTCTCAGAATGCTTCTGTCTCGTTTTTATGTGAAGAAGATTCCTTTTCCACCATATTCCTCATGCACTCTAAATAAACACTTGCAGATTCTGCTATAAAAGTGTTTCAAAACTGCTCAATCAAAAGAAAGGTTCTAGTCAGTGAGATGAATGCACACATCACAAAGAAGTTTCTATGAATGCTTCTGTCTGATTTATATTGAAGATATTTCTTTTTTCACCGTAGGCCTCAGAGTGCTTAAAATATCCATTTGCAGATACTAGAAAAGACTGTTTCCAAACTGCTCAATCAAAGTAAAGTTCAACTCAGTGAGATGAATGCACACATCACCAAGACGTTTCTGAGAAAGATTCTGTCTCGTTTTTATGTGAAGATATTTCCTGTTTCTCCAGAGGCATCAATGGGCTCACAAACATTCCTTTGCCTATTCTACAAAATGACTGTTTAGAAGGTGCTCAATCAAAAAAAAAGTTCAACAGTGTGAGATGAATGCGCCCATTCAAAGGAAGTTTCTCAGAATTCTTCTATCTAGTTTTTATGTGAAGATATTTCCTTTTTCACTATAGGCCACAAAGTGCTCCAAATATCCACTTGCAGACTCTACAAAACGAGTGTATCCACACTGCACAATCAAAAGAATATTTCAACTGTGTGAGATGAATGCACACATCAAAATAAATTTCTCCAAAACTTCTGCCTACTTTTTATGGGAAGATATTTCGTTTTTCAACGTAGGCCAAAAGCACTCCAAATATCAATTTGCAGATTCTACAAAAAGACTGTTTCCAAACTGCTCAATCAAGAGAAAGTTTCAACCCAGTGAGTAGAAGTCACACATGACAAAATAGTTTCTCAGAAAGTATCTGTCTAGTTTTTATGTGAAGATATTTCCTATCACCCCAGAAGCCTCAATGGTCTCACAAATATTCCTTTGCAGATTCTACAAAACGACAGTTTCAAAACTGCTGAATCAAAAGAAAGGTTCAACTCTGTGAGATTAATGCACAGATCACAAATAAGTTTCTCAGAATGCTGCTGTCTAGTTTTAATGGGAAGAGATTTCCTTTTCCACCATAGGCCTCAAAGCTCTCCAAATAGCCATTTGCAGATACTGTAAAAAGACTGTTTCCAAACTGCTGAATCAAAAGAAAGGTTGAACTCCATGAGTTGAATGCACACGTCATAAAGAAGTTTCTCAGAATGGTTCTGACTAGTTTTTATGTGAAGATATTTTCTTTTCCACCGTAGGCCTCAAAGCGCTGAAAATATCCACTTGAAGATTCTACAAAAAGAGAGTTTCAAAACTGCTCAAACAAAAGAAAGATTCAACTCTGTGAGATGAATGCACACATCACAAAGAAGTTTCCTCAGAATGCTTCTGTCTAGTTTTATGTAAAGATATTTCCTTTTCTACTATAGGCCACAAAGCACTCCAAATATCAACTTGCAGATACTGCAGAAAGAGTTTTTCAAAGCTGCTCAATCAAAAGAAAAGTTCAACTCTTTGAGACGAATGCACACATCAGGAAGTTCCTCAGAATGCTTCTATTTTTATGTGAACATATCCTTTTCTACCATAGACCACAAAACGCTCCAAATATCCCCTTGCAGTTTCTACTAAAAGAGTGTTTCCAAACGGCTCAATCAAAAGAAAGTTTCAACGCTGTGAGATGAATGCACACATCATTAAGAAGTGTCTCAGTAATTTGCTGTCTAGTTTTTATGTGAAGATATTTCCCTTCCTACTATAGGCCTGAAAGTGCTCCAAATATCCGTTTGCAGATACTGCATAAAGACTGTTTCCAAACTGCTCAATCAAAGGAAATGTCCAACTCTGTGAGTTGAATGCACGCATCTCAAAGAGATTACTTATAATGATTCTGTCTAGTTTTGATGTGAAGATATTTGCTTTTCCACCAGTGGCCTCAAACTCTCCAAATATCCACTTGCAGATTCTACAATAAGAGTGTTTCAAAACTGCTCAATCAAAAGAAAGGTTCAACACTCTGAGATGAATGCACACGTCACAAAGCACTTTCTTAGAATGCTTCTGTCTAGCTTTTATGTGAAGATATTTCCTTTTTCACCATAGGCTGCAAAGCGCTCCAAATATCCCTTTCAGATTCAACAGAAAGAGTGTTTCAAAACTGTTCAATCAAAAGAGAAACACAACTCTGGTTATGAATGCACGCATCACATAGTAGTTTCTCATCATGTTTCTGTCTATTTTTTATGTGAAGTTATTTCATTTTCCACTATAGGCCGTAATGCACTCCTAATATCCACTTGCAGATTCTACAAAAGACTGTTTGCAAACTGCTCAAACAAAAGAAAAGTTCAACTCTGTGAGTTGAATGAGCACATCACAAAGAAGTTTCTCAGAATGCTTCTGTCTAGTTTCTATGTGAATATATTTCCTTTTCCACTATAGGCCGTAATGCGCTCCAAATATCCACTTGCAGTTTCTACAAAAAGACTGTTTCCAAACTGCTCAATCAAAAGAAAAGCTCAACTCTGTGAGTTGAATGAGCACATCAGAAAGAAGTTTCTCAGAATGCTTCTGTCTAGTTTTTAAGTGAATATATTTCCTTTTCCACCACAGGCCACAAACACTCCAAATATCCACTTGAAGATTCTACAAAAAGAGTGCTTCAAAAATGCTCAATCAAAAGAAAGTTTCAACTCTTTGAGATGGATGCACACATCACAAAGAAGCTTCTCAGAATGTTTCTGTCTAGTTTTTTTGTGAAGATATTTCCTTTTCCACCGTAGTCCTCAAGTCTCTCCAAATATCTACTTTCAGAATCTCCAAAAAGAGTGTTTGAAAACTGCTGTACCAAAGAAAGTTTCATGTCTGAGATATGACTGCATACAACACAGAGAAGTTTCTCAAAGTGCTTCTGTTTATTTTTCTTATGAAGATATTTCCTTTTCCACTATGGGCCACAGAGCGCTCCAAATATCCACTGGCAGATTCTACAAAAAGAGTGTTTCAAAACTGCTCAATCAATAGAAAGTTTGAAGTCTGTGAGATGAATGTGCACATCACAAAGGAGTTTCTAAGAATGCTTCCATCTGAATTTTATGTGAGGATATTTCCTTTTTCACCATAGGCCTCAATACGCTCCAAATATCCATTTATAGATAATACAAATGACTGTATCCAAACCGCTCAATCAAAAGAAAGTTCAACTTGTGTATGATGAATACACACATCACAAGGAAGTTTCTCAGAAAGTTTTTGTCTAATTTTTAGGTGAAGTTATTTCTTACTTCCCCAGAGGCCTCAATGGGCTCTCAAATATTCCCTTTCATATTCTACTAAACGACTGTATCGAATCTGCTCAATCAAAAGAAAGGTTTAACAGTGTGAGACGAAAATACACCTTCCTGGGAAGTTTCTCAGAATTCTTCTTTCTAGGTTTTTATGTGAAGATATTTCCTTTTCCACTATAGGCCTCAAAGCGTTCCAAATATCCACTTGCAGATCCTACAAATAGAGCCTTTCAAAACTGCTCAATCGAAAGAAAGGTTCAACTCTGTGAGATGAATGCAGACATCAAAAAGAAGTTTCTCAGAATGCTTCCGCCTTGTTTTTATGTGAAGATATTTCCTTTTTCACCATAGGCCTCAAAGCACTGGTAATATCCATTTGTAGATACTACAAAAAGACTGTTCCCAAACTGCTCAATAAAAAGAAAGTTTCAACTCTATGAGATAAAAGCTAATATCACAAAGAAGTTTCTCAGAAACTTTCTATCTAGTTTTTATGTGAACATATTTCTTATCACCCCATAGACCTCAATCGGCTCACAAGTATCCTTCTGCAGATTGTAAAAAACTACTGTTTCCAAACCGCTCAATCACAGGAAAGGTTTAACTCTGTGAAATGAATGCATCCATCCCAGAGAAGTTTCTCAGAATGCTTCCGTCTCGTTTCCATGTGAAGAAGATTCCTTTTCCACCATATTCCTCATGCGCTCCAAATAAACACTTGCAGATTCCGCTAAAAGAGTGTTTCAAAACTGCTCAATCAAAAGAAAGGTTCTAGTCGGTGAGATGAATGCACACATCACAAAGAAGTTTCTATGAATGCTTCTGTCTGATTTATATTGAAGATATTTCCTTTTTAACCGTAGGCCTCAGAGTGCTTAAAATATCCATTTGCAGATACTAGAAAAGACTGTTTCCAAACTGCTCAATCAAAATAAAGTTCAACTCAGTGAGATGAATGCACACATCACCAAGACGTTTCTGAGAAAGATTCTGTCTCGTTTTTATGTGAAGATATTTCCTGTTTCCCCAGAGGCATCAATGGGCTCACAAATATTCCTTTGCACATTCTACAAAATGACTGTTTAGAAGGTGCTCAATCAAAAAAAAATTTCAACAGTGTGAGATGAATGCGCCCATTCAAAGGAAGTTTCTCAGAATTCTTCTGTCCAGTTTTTATGTGAAGATATTTCCTTTTTCACTATAGGCCACAAAGCACTCAAAATATCCACTTGCAGACTCTACAAAAAGAGTGTTTCCACACTGCTCAATCAAAAGAAAAGTTCAACTGTGTGAGATGAATGCACACATCACAAAGAAATTTCTCCAAAAGCTTCTGCCTACTTTTTATGGGAAGATATTTTGTTTTTCAACATAGGCCAAAAGCACTCCAAATATCAATTTGCAGATTCTACAAAAAGACCGTTTCCAAACTGCTCAATCAAGAGAAAGTTTCAACCCGGTGAGTAGAAGTCACACATGACAAAATAGTTTCTCAGAAAGTATCTGTCTAGTTTTTACGTGAAGATATTTCCTATCACCCCAGAAGCCTCAATGGGCTCACAATATTCCTTTGCAGATTCTACAAAACGACAGTTTCAAAACTGCTGAATCAAAAGAAAGGTTCAACTCTGGGAGATGAATGCACAGATCACAAATAAGTTTCTCAGAATGCTGCTGTCTAGTTTTTATGGGAAGATATTTCCTTTTCCACCATAGGCCTCAAAGCTCTCCAAATATCCATTTGCAGACACTGTAAAAAGACTGTTTCCAAACTGCTGAATCAAAAGAAAGGTTGAACTCCATGAGTTGAATGCACACGTCACAAAGGCGTTTCTCAGAATGCTTGTGTCTAGCTTTTATGTGAAGATGTTTCCTTTTCCACCAGAGGCCTCAAAGTGCTTCAAATATACACTTGCAGATCTTGCAAAAAGAGTGTTTCAAAACTGCTCAATCAAAAGAAAGGTTGAAGTCTGTGAGATGAATGTACACATCACAAAGAAGTTTCTAAGAATGCTTCTGTCTGGTTTTATGTAAAGATATTTCCTTTTCTACTATAGGCCACAAAGCACTCCAAATATCAACTTGCAGATTCTGCAGAAAGAGTTTTTCAAAGCTGCTCAATCAAAAGAAAAGTTCAACTCTTTGAGATGAATGCACACATCAGGAAGTTCCTCAGAATGCTTCTATTTTTATGTGAAGATATAGCCTTTTCTACCATAGACGACAAAACGCTCCAAATATCCCCTTGCAGTTTCTACTAAAAGAGTGTTTCCAAACTGCTCAATCAAAAGAAGTTTCAACTCTGTGAGATGAATGCACTCATCAATAAGAAGTTTCTCAGTAATTTTCTGTCTAGTTTTTATGTGAAGATATTTCCTTTCCTACTATAGGCCTGAAAGTGCTCCAAATATCCGTTTGCAGATACTGCAAAAAGACTGTTTCCAAACTGCTCAATCAAAGGAAATGTCCAAATGCTGTGAGTTGAATGCACGCATCTCAAAGAGATTACTCATAATGATTCTGTCTAGTTTTGATGTGAAGATATTTGCTTTTCCACCAGTGGCCTCAAACTCTCCAAATATCCACTTGCAGATTCTACAATAAGAGTGTTTCAAAACTGCTCAATCAAAGAAAGGTTCAACACTGTGAGATGAATGCACACGTCACAAAGCACTTTCTTAGAATGCTTCTGTCTAGTTTTTATGTGAAGATATTTCGTTTTTCACCATAGGCCGCAAGGCGTTCCAAATATCCCCTTCAGATTCTACAGAAAGAGTGTTTCAAAACTGTTCAATCAAAAGAAAGGTTCAACCCTGGTGATGAATGCACGCATCACAGAGCAGTTTCTCATAATATTTATCTGTCTAGTTTTTGTGTGTATATATTTCCTTTTCCACCACAGGCCCCAAAGCACTCCAAATATCCATTTGCAGGTACTACAAAAAGACTGTTTCCAAACTGCTCAATCAAAAGAAAAGTTTAAATCTGTGAGTTGAATGAGCACATCACAAATAAGTTTCTCAGAATGCTTCTGTCTAGTTTTTATGTGAATATATTTCCTTTTCCACTATAGGCCGTAATGCGCTCCAAATATCCACCTGCAGATTCTACAAAAAGACTGTTTCCAAACTGCTCAATCAAAAGAAAAGTTCAACTCTGTGAGATGAATGAGCACATCACAAAGAAGTTTCTCAGAATGCTTCTATCTAGTTTTTATGTGAATATATTTCCTTTTCCACCACAGGCCACAAACACTCCAAATATCCACTTGAAGATTCTACAAAAAGAGTGCTTCAAAAATGCTCAATCAAAAGAAAGGTTCAACTGCTTTGAGATGGATGCACACATCACAAAGAAGCTTCTCAGAATGTTTCTGTCTAGTTTTTTTGTGAAGATATTTCCTTTTCCACCGTAGTCCTCAAGTCTCTCCAAATATCTACTTTCAGAATCTCCATAAAGAGTGTTTTAAAACTGCTGTACCAAAGAAAGTTTCATGTCTGAGTTATGACTGCATACAACACAGAGAACTTTCTCAAAGTGCTTCTGTTTATTTTTCTTATGAAGATATTTCCTTTTCCACTATGGGCCACAGAGCGCTCCAAATATCCACTGGCAGATTCTACAAAAAGAGTGTTTCAAAACTGCTCAATCAGTAGAAAGTTTGAAGTGTGTGAGATGAATGTACACATCACAAAGGAGTTTCTAAGAATGCTTCCATCTGAATTTTATGTGAGGATATTTCCTTTTTCACCATAGGCCTCAGTACACTCCAAATATCCATTTACAGATAATACAAATGACTGTATCCAAACTGCTCAATCAAAAGAAAGTTCAACTGTGTATGATGAATGCACACATCACAAGGGTGTTTCTCAGAAAGTTTTTGTCTTGTTTTTAGGTGAAGATATTTCTTATTTCCCCAGAGGCCTCAATGGGATCTCAAATATTCCCTTTCATATTCTACTAAATGACTGTATCGAAGCTGCTCAATCAAAAGACGGGTTTAACAGTGTGAGACGAAAATACACCTTCCTAGGAAGTTTCTCAGAATTCTTCCTTCTAGGTTTTTATGTGAAGATATTTCGTTTTCCACTATAGGCCTCAAAGCGTTCCAAATATCCACTTGCAGATCCTACAAATAGAGCCTTTCAAAACTGCTCAATCAAAAGAAAGGTTCAACTCTGTGAGATGAATGCAGACATCAAAAAGAAGTTTCTCAGAATGCTTCCGCCTTGTTTTTATGTGAAGATATTTCCTTTTTCACCATAGGCCTCAAAGCACTGGTAATATCCATTTGCAGATACTACAAAAAGACTGTCCCCAAACTGCTCAATAAAAAGAAAGTTTCAACTCTAGGAGATAAAAGCAAATATCACAAAGAAGTTTCTCAGAAACTTTCTATCTAGTTTTTATGTGAACATATTTCTTATCACCCCATAGACCTCAATCGGCTCACAAGTATCCTTCTGCAGATTATAAAAAACGACTGTTTCCAAACCGCTCAATCACAGGAAAGGTTTAACTCTGTGAAATGAATGCACCCATCACAGAGAAGTTTCTCAGAATGCTTCTGTCTCGTTTTTATGTGAAGAAGATTCCTTTTCCACCATATTCCTCATGCACTCCAAATAAACACTTGCAGATTCTGCTAAAAGAGTGTTTCAAAACTGCTCAATCAAAAGAAAGGTTCTAGTCGGTGAGACGAATGCACACATCACAAAGAAGTTTCTATGAATGCTTCTGTCTGATTTATATTGAAGATATTTCCTTTTTCACCGTAGGCTTCAGAGTGCTTAAAATATCCATTTGCAGATACTAGAAAAGACACTTTCCAAACTGCTCAATCAAAATAAAGTTCAACTCAGTGAGATGAATGCACACATCACCAAGACGTTTCTGAGAAAGATTCTGTCTCGTTTTTATGTGAAGATATTTCCTATTTCCCCAGAGGCATCAATGGGCTCACAAATATTCCTTTGCATATTCTACAAAATGACTGTTTAGAAGGTGCTCAATCAAAAAAAAAAGTTCAACAATGTGAGATGAATGCGCACATTCAAAGGAAGTTTCTCAGAATTCTTCTATCTAGTTTTTATGTGAAGATATTTCCTTTTTCACTGTAGGCCACAAAGTGCTCCAAATATCCACTTGCAGACTCTACAAAACGAGTGTATCCACACTGCTCAATCAAAAGAAAATTTCAACTGTGTGAGATGAATGCACACATCAAAATAAATTTCTCCAAAACTTCTGCCTACTTTTTATGGGAAGATATTTCGTTTTTCAACGTAGGCCAAAAGCACTCCAAATATCAATTTGCAGATTCTACAAAAAGACTGTTTCCAAACTGCTCAATCAAGAGAAAGTTTCAACCTGGTGAGTAGAAGTCACACATGACAAAATAGTTTCTCAGAAAGTATCTGTCTAGTTTTTATGTGAAGATATTTCTTATCACCCCAGAAGCCTCAATGGGCTCACAAATATTCCTTTGCAGATTCTACAAAACGACAGTTTCAAAACTGCTGAATCAAAAGAAAGGTTCAACTCTGTGAGATGAATGCACAGATCACAAATAAGTTTCTCAGAATGCTGCTGTCTAGTTTTTATGGGAAGAGATTTCCTTTTCCACCATAGGCCTCAAAGCTCTCCAAATAGCCATTTGCAGATACTGTAAAAAGACTGTTTCCAAACTGCTGAATCAAAAGAAAGGTTGAACTCCATGAGTTGAATGCACACGTCACAAAGAAGTTTCTCAGAATTCTTCTGACTAGTTTTTATGTGAAGATATTTTCTTTTCCACCATAGGCCTCAAAGCGCTAAAAATATCCACTTGAAGATTCTACAGAAAGAGAGTTTCAAAACTGCTCAAACAAAAGAAAGATTCAACTCTGTGAGATGAATGCACACATCACAAAGAAGTTTCTCAGAATGCTTCTGTCTAGTTTTATGTGAAGATATTTCCTTTTCTACTATAGGCCGCAAAGTACTCCAAATATCAACTTGCAGATTCTGCAGAAAGAGTTTTTCAAAGCTGCTCAATCAAAAGAAAAGTTCAACTCTTTGAGATGAATGCACACGTCATGAAGAAGTTCCTCAGAATGCTTCTATTTTTATGTGAAGACATATCCTTTTCTACCATAGACCACAAAACGCTCCAAATATCCCCTTGCAGTTTCTACTAAAAGAGTGTTTCCAAACTGCTCAATCAAAAGAAGTTTCAACTCTGTGAGATGAATGCACACATCATTAAGAAGTTTCTCAGTAATTTTCTGTCTAGTTTTTATGTGAAGATATTTCCTTTCCTACTATAGGCCTGAAAGTGCTCCAAATATCCGTTTGCAGATACTGCAAAAAGACTGTTTCCACACTGCTCAATCAAAGGAAATGTCCAACTCTGTGAGTTCAATGCACGCATCTCAAAGAGATTACTTATAATGATTCTGTCTAGTTTTGATGTGAAGATATTTGCTTTTCCACCAGTGACCTCAAACTCTCCAAATATCCACTTGCAGATTCTACAATAAGAGTGTTTCAAAACTGCTCAATCAAAAGAAAGCTTCAACACTGTGAGATGAATGCACACGTCACAAAGCACTTTCTTAGAATGCATCTGTCTAGCTTTTATGTGAAGATATTTCCTTTTTCACCATAGGCTGCAAAGCGCTCCAAATATCCCTTTCAGATTCTACAGAAAGAGAGTTTCAAAACTGTTCAATCAAAAGAGAAACTCAACTCTGGTGATGAATGCACGCATCACAAAGCAGTTTCTCATAATATTTCTGTCTAGTTTTTATGTGAAGATATTTCATTTTCCACTATAGGCCGTAATGCACTCCTAATATCCACTTGCAGATTCTACAGAAAGACTGTTTGCAAACTGCTCAAACAAAAGAAAAGTTCAACTCTGTGAGTTGAATGAGCACATCACAAAGAAGTTTCTCAGCATGCTTCTGTCTAGTTTTTATGTGAATATATTTCCTTTTCCACTATAGGCCGTAATGCACTCCTAATATCCACTTGCAGATTCTACAAAAAGACTGTTTCCAAACTGCTCAATCAAAAGAAAAGCTCAACTCTGTGAGTTGTATGAGCACATCACAAAGAAGTTTCTCAGAATGCTTCTATCTAGTTTTTATGTGAATATATTTCCTTTTCCACCACAGGCCACAAACCCTCCAAATATCCACTTGAAGATTCTACAAAAAGAGTGCTTCAAAAATGCTCAATCAAAAGAAAGGTTCAACTCTTCGAAATGGACGCACACATCACAAAGAAGCTTCTCAGAATGTTTCTGTCTAGTTTTTTTGTGAAGATATTTCCTTTTCCACCGTAGTCCTCAAGTCTCTCCAAATATCTACTTTCAGAATCTCCAAAAAGAGTGTTTTAAAACTGCTGTACCAAAGAAAGTTTCATGTCTGAGTTATGACTGCATACAACACAGAAAACTTTCTCAAAGTGCTTCTGTTTATTTTTTTTATGAAGATATTTCCTTTTCCACTATGGGCAACAGAACGCTCCAAATATCCACTGGCAGATTCTACAAAAAGAGTGTTTCAAAACTGCTCAATCAATAGAAAGTTTGAAGTCTGTGAGATGAATGCACACATCACATAGGAGTTTCTAAGAATGCTTCCATCTGAATTTTATGTGAGGATATTTCCTTTTTCACCATAGGCCTCAATACACTCCAAATATCCATTTACAGAAAATACAAATGACTGTATCCAAACTGCTCAATCAAAAGAAATTTCAACTGTGCATGATGAATGCACACATCACAAGGGGGTTTCTCAGAAAGATTTTGTCTAGTTTTTAGGTGAAGATATTTCTTATTTCCCCAGAGGCCTCAATGGGCTCTCAAATATTCCCTTTCATATTCTACTAAATGACTGTATCGAAGCTGCTCAATCAAAAGACGGGTTTAACAGTGTGAGACGAAAATACAGCTTCCTAGGAAGTTTCTCAGAATTCTTCTTTCTAGTTTTTTATGTGAAGATATTTCCTTTTCCACTATAGGCCTCAAAGCGTTCCAAATATCCACTTGCAGATACTACAAATAGAGCGTTTCAAAACTGCTCAATCAAAAGAAATGTTCAACTCTGTGAGATGAATGCAGACATCAAAAAGAAGTTTCTCAGAATGCTTCTGCCTTGTTTTTATGTGAAGATATTTCCTTTTTCAAAATAGGCCTCAAAGCACTGGTAATATCCATTTGCAGATACTACAAAAAGACTGTTCCCAAACTGCTCAATAAAAATAAAGTTTCAACTCTATGAGATAAAAGCAAATATCACAAAGAAGTTTCTCAGAAACTTTCTGTCTAGTTTTTATGTGAACATATTTCCTATCGCCCCATAGGCCTCAATCAGCTCAAAAATATCCTTCTGCAGATTATACAAAACAAATGTTTCCAAACCATTCAATCACAGGAAGGGTTTAACTTTGTGAAATGAATGCGCCCATCACAGAAAAGTTTCTCAGAATGTTTCCGTCTCGTTTTCATGTGAAGAAGATTCCTTTTCCACCATATTCCTCATGCGTTCCAAATAAACACTTGCAGATTCCGCTAAAAGAGTGTTTCAAAACTGCTCAATCAAAAGAAAGGTTCTAGTCGGTGAGATGAATGCACACATCCCAAAGAAGTTTCTATGAATGCTTCTGTCTGATTTATATTGAAGATATTTCCTTTTTCACTGTAGGCCTCAGAGTGCTTAAAATATCCATTTGCAGATACTAGAAAAGACTGTTTCCAAACTGCTCAATCAAAATAAAGTTCAACTCAGTGAGATGAATGCACACATCACCAAGACGTTTCTGAGAAAGATTTCTGTCTCGTTTTTATGTGAAGATATTTCCTGTTTCCCCAGAGGCATCAATGGGCTCACAAATATTCCTTTGCATATTCTACAAAATGACTGTTTAGAAGGTGCTCAATCAAAAAAAAAAGTTCAACAGTGTGAGATGAATGCGCCCATTCAAAGGAAGTTTCTCAGAATTCTTCTATCTAGTTTTTATGTGAAGATATTTCCTTTTTCACTGTAGGCCACAAAGTGCTCCAAATATCCACTTGCAGACGCTACAAAACGAGTGTATCCACACTGCTCAATCAAAAGAAAATTTCAACTGTGTGAGATGAATGCACACATCAAAATAAATTTCTCCAAAACTTCTGCCTACTTTTTATGGGAAGATATTTCGTTTTTCAACGTAGGCCAGAAGCACTCCAAATATCAATTTGCAGATTCTACAAAAAGACTGTTTCCAAACTGCTCAATCAAGAGAAAGTTTCAACCTGGTGAGTAGAAGTCACACATGACAAAATAGTTTCTCAGAAAGTATCTGTCTAGTTTTTATGTGAAGATATTTCCTATCACCCCAGAAGCCTCCATGGGCTCACAAATATTCCTTTGCAGATTCTACAAAACGACAGTTTCAAAACTGCTGAATCAAAAGAAAGGTTCAACTCCGTGAGATGAATGCACAGATCACAAATAAGTTTCTCAGAATGCTGCTGTCTAGTTTTTATGGGAAGAGATTTCCTTTTCCACCATAGGCCTCAAAGCTCTCCAAATATCCATCTGCAGATACTGTAAAAAGACTGTTTCCAAACTGCTGAATCAAAAGAAAGGTTGAACTCCATGAGTTGAATGCACACGTCACAAAGAAGTTTCTCAGAATGCTTGTGTCTAGTTTTTATGTGAAGATGCTTCCTTTTCCACCAGAAGCCTCAAAGCACTTCAAATATACACTTGCAGATACTGCAAAAAGAGTGTTTCAAAACTGCTCAATCAATAGAAAGTTTGAAGTCTGTGAGATGAATGCACACATCACAAAGAAGTTTCTGAGAATGCTTCTGTCTAGTTTTATGTAAAGATATTTCCTTTTCTACTATAGGCCACAAAGCACTCCAAATATCAACTTGCAGATTCTGCAGAAAGAGATTTTCAAAGCTGCTCAATCAAAAGAAAAGTTCAACTCTTTGAGATTAATGCACACATCATGAAGTTCCTCAGAATGCTTCTATTTTTATGTGAAGATATAGCCTTTTCTGCCATAGACCACAAAACGCTCCAAATATCCCCTTGCAGTTTCTACTAAAAGAGTGTTTCCAAACTGCTCAATCAAAAGAAAGTTTCAACTCTGTGAGATGAATGCACACATCATAAAGAAGTTTCTCAGTAATTTTCTGTCTAGTTTTTATGTGAAGATATTTCCTTTCCTACTATAGGCCTGAAAGTGCTCCAAATATCCGCTTGCAGATACTGCAAAAAGACTGTTTCCAAACTGCTCAATCAAAGGAAACGGTCCAACTCTGTGAGTTGAATGCACTGCATCTCAAAGAGATTACTTATAATGATTCTGTCTAGTTTTGATGTGAAGATATTTGCTTTTCCACCAGTGACCTCAAACTCTCCAAATATCCACTTGCAGATTCTACAATAAGAGTGTTTCAAAACTGCTCAATCAAAAGAAAGGTTCAACACTGTGAGATGAATGCACACGTCACAAAGCACTTTCTTAGAATGCTTCTGTCTAGCTTTTATGTGAAGATATTTCCTTTTTCACCATAGGCTGCAAAGCGCTCCAAATATCCCTTTCAGATTCTACAGAAAGAGTGTTTCAAAACTGATCAATCAAAAGAGAAATTCAACTCTGGTGATGAATGCACGCATCACAAAGCAGTTTCTCATAATGTTTCTGTCTAGTTTTTATGTGAAGGTATTTCGTTTTCCACTATAGGCCGTAAAGCACTCCAAATATCCACTTGCAGATTCTACAAAAAGACTGTTTCCAAACTACTCAATCAAAAGAAATGTTCAACTTTTTTAGTTGAATGCACGCATCACAAAGAAGTTTCTCAGCATGCTTCTGTCTAGTTTTTATGTGAATATATTTCCTTTTCCACTATAGGCCATCATGCGCTCCAAATATCCACTTGCAGATTCTACAAAAAGACTGTTTCCAAACTGCTCAATCAAAAGAAAAGCTCAACTCTGTGAGTTGAATGAGCACATCACAAAGAAGTTTCTCAGAATGCTTCTATCTAGTTTTTATGTGAATATATTTCCTTTTCCACCACAGGCCACAAACACTCCAAATATCCACTTGAAGATTCTACAAAAAGAGTGCTTCAAAAATGCTCAATCAAAAGAAAGGTTCAACTCTTCGAGATGGATGCACACATCACAAAGAAGCTTCTCAGAATGTTTCTGTCTAGTTTTTTGGTGAAGATATTTCCTTTTCCACCGTAGTCCTCAAGTCTCTCCAAATATCTACTTTCAGAATCTCCAAAAAGAGTGTTTTAAAACTGCTGTACCAAAGAAAGTTTCATGTCTGAGATATGACTGCATACAACACAGAGAAGTTTCTCAAAGTGCTTCTGTTTATTTTTTTGATGAAGATATTTCCTTTTCCACTATTGGCCACAGAGCGCTCCAAATATCCACTGGCAGATTCTACAAAAAGAGTGTTTCAACACTGCTCAATCAATAGAAAGTTTGAAGTCTGTGAGATGAATGTACACATCACAAAGGAGTTTCTAAGAATGCTTCCATCTGAATTTTATGTGAGGATATTTCCTTTTTCACCATAGGCGTCAGTACATTCCAAATATCCATTTACAGATAATACAAATGACTGTATCCAAACTGCTCAATCAAAAGAAAGTTCAACTGTGTATGATGAATGCACACATCACAAGGGTGTTTCTCAGAAAGTTTTTGTCTAGTTTTTAGATGAAGATATTTCTTATTTCCCAAGAGGCCTCAATGGGCTCTCAAATATTCTCTTTCAGATTCTACTAAATGACTGTATCGAAGCTGCTCAATCAAAAGAAAGGTTCAACAGTGTGAGAAGAAAGCACACATTCCTAGGAAGTTTCTCAGAATTCTTCTTTCTAGTTTTTTATGTGAAGATATTTCCTTTTCCACTATAGGCCTCAAAGCGTTCCAAATATCCACTTGCAGATACTACAAATAGAGCGTTTCAAAACTGCTCAATCAAAAGAAAGGTTCAACTCTGTGAGATGAATGCAGACATCAAAAAGAAGTTTCTCAGAATTCTTCTGCCTTGTATTTATGGGAAGATATTTCCTTTTTCACCATAGGTCTCAAAGCACTGGTAATATCCATTTGCAGATACTACAAAAAGACTGTTCCCAAACTGCTCAATCAAAAGAAAGTTTCAACTCTGTGAGATGAAAGCAAATATCACAAAGAAGTTTCTCATAAATTTTCTATCTAGTTTTTATGTGAACATATTTCTTATCACCCCATAGACCTCAATCGGCTCACAAGTATCCTTCTGCAGATTGTAAAAAACTACTGTTTCCAAACCGCTCAGTCACAGGAAAGGTTTAACTCTGTGAAATGAATGCATCCATCACAGAGAAGTTTCTCAGAATGCTTCCGTCCGTTTTCATGTGAAGAAGATTCCTTTTCCACCATATTCCTCATGCGCTCCAAATAAACACTTGCAGATTCCGCTAAAAGAGTGTTTCAAAACTGCTCAATCAAAAGAAAGGTTCTAGTCGGTGAGATGAATGCACACATCACAAAGAAGTTTCTATGAATGCTTCTGTCTGATTTATATTGAAGATATTTCCTTTTTCACCGTAGGCCTCAGAGTGTTTAAAATATCCATTTGCAGATACTAGAAAAGACTGTTTCCAAACTGCTCAATCAAAATAAAGTTCAACTCAGTGAGATGAATGCACACATCACCAAGACGTTTCTGAGAAAGATTCTGTCTCGTTTTTATGTGAAGATATTTCCTGTTTCCCCAGAGGCATCAATGGGCTCACAAATATTCCTTTGCATATTCTACAAAATGACTGTTTAGAAGGTGCTCAATCAAAAAAGAAGTTCAACAGTGTGAGATGAATGCGCCCATTCAAAGGAAGTTTCTCAGAATTCTTCTATCTAGTTTTTATGTGAAGATATTTCCTTTTTCACTATAGGCCACAAAGTGCTCCAAATATCCACTTGCAGACTCTACAAAACGAGTGTATCCACACTGCTCAATCAAAAGAAAATTTCAACTGTGTGAGATGAATGCACACATCAAAATAAATTTCTCCAAAATTTCTGCCTACTTTTTATGGGAAGATATTTCGTTTTTCAACGTAGGCCAAAAGCACTCCAAATATCAATTTGCAGATTCTACAAAAAGACTGTTTCCAAACTGCTCAATCAACAGAATGTTTCAACCCGGTGAGTAGAAGTCACACATGACAAAATAGTTTCTCAGAAAGTATCTGTCTAGTTTTTATGTGAAGATATTTCCTATTACCCCAGAAGCCTCAATGGGCTCACAAATATTCCTTTGCAGATTCTACAAAACGACAGTTTCAAAACTGCTGAATCAAAAGAAAGGTTCAACTCTGTGAGATGAATGCACAGATCACAAATAAGTTTCTCAGAATGCTTCTGTCTAGTTTTTATGTGAAGATATTTCCTTTTCCACCATAGGCCTCAAAGCTCTCCAAATATCCATTTGCAGATACTACAAAAAGACTGTTTCCAAACTGCTGAATCAAAAGAAAGGTTCAACTACATGAGTTGAATGCACACATCACAAAGAAGTTTCTCAGAAAGCTTGTGTCTAGTTTTTATGTGAAGATGTTTCCTTTTCCACCACAGGCCTCAAAGCGCTTCAAATATACACTTGCAGATCCTGCAAAAAGAGTGTTTCAAAACTGCTCAATCAAAAGAAAGGTTGAAGTCTGTGAGATGAATGCACTCCTCACAAAGTAGTTTCTAAGAATGCTTCTGTCTAGTTTTATGTAAAGATATTTCCTTTTCTACTATAGGCCACAAAGCACTCCAAATATCAACTTGCAGATTCTGCAGAAAGAGTTTTTCAAAGCTGCTCAGTCAAAAGACAAGTTCAACTCTTTGAGATGAATGCACACATCATGAAGTTCCTCAGAATGCTTCTATTTTTATGTGAAGATATATCCTTTTCTACCATAGACCACAAAACGCTCCAAATATCCCCTTGCAGTTTCTACTAAAAGAGTGTTTCCAAACGGCTCAATCAAAAGAAAGTTTCAACTCTGTGAGATGAATGCACACATCATTAAGAAGTGTCTCAGTAATTTTCTGTCTAGTTTTTATGTGAAGATATTTCCTTTCCTACTATAGGCCTGAAAGTGCTGCAAATATCCGTTTGCAGATACTGCAAAAAGACTGTTTCCACACTGCTCAATCAAAGGAAATGTCCAACTCTGTGAGTTGAATGCATGCATCTCAAAGAGATTACTTATAATGATTCTGTCTAGTTTTTAGGTGAAGATATTCCCTTTTAAACTGTAGTCTGCAAAGCACTCCAAATATACACTTGCAGATTCTACAAAAAGAGTGTTTCAAAATTGCTCAATCAAAAGAAGGGTTCAACAGTGTTAGTTGAATGCACACATCACAAAGAATTTTCCCAGAATGCTTCTGTCTAGCTTTTATGTGAAGATATTTCCTTTTTCACCATAGGCTGCAAAGCGCTGCAAATATCCCTTTCAGATTCTACAGAAAGAATGTTTCAAAACTGTTCAATCAAAAGAGAAACTCAACTCTGGTGATGAATGCACGCATCACAAAGCAGTTTCTCATAATGTTTCTGTCTAGTTTTTATGTGAAGATATTTCATTCTCCATTATAGGCCGTAATACACTCCTAATATCCACTTGCAGATTCTACAAAAAGACTGTTTGCAAACTGCTCAAACAAAAGAAAAGTTCAACTCTGTGAGTTGAATGAGCACATCACAAAGAAGTTTCTCAGAATGCTTCTGTCTAGTTTTTATGTGAATATATTTCCTTTTCCACTATAGGTCGTCATGCGCTCCAAATATCCACTTGCAGATTCTACAAAAAGACTGTTTCCAAACTGCTCAATCAAAAGAAAAGCTCAACTCTGTGAGTTGAATGAGCACATCACAAAGAAGTTTCTCAGAATGCTTCTGTCTAGTTTTTATGTGAAGATATTTCCTTTTCCACCACAGGCCACAAAGCATTCCAAATATCCACTTGAAGATTCTACAAAAAGAGTGCTTCAAAAATGCTCAATCAAAAGAAAGGTTCAACTCTTTGAGATGGATGCACATATCACAAAGAAGCTTCTCAGAATGCTTCTGTCTACTTTTTTTGTGAAGATATTTCCTTTTCCACCGTAGTCCTCAAGTCTCTCCAAATACCTACTTTCAGAATCTCCAAAAAGAGTGTTTTAAAACTGCTGTACCAAAGAAAGTTTCATGTCTGAGATATGACTGCATACAACACAGAGAACTTTCTCAAGGTGCTTCTGTTTATTTTTTTTATGAAGATATTTCCTTTTCCACTATGGGCCACAGTAGCGCTCCAAATATCCACTGGCAGATTCTACAAAAAGAGTGTTTCAAAACTGCTCAATCAATAGAAAGTTTGAAGTCTGTGAGATGAGTGCACACATCACAAAGGAGTTTCTAAGAATGCTTCCATCTGAATTTTATGTGAGGATATTTCCTTTTTCACCATAGGCCTCAGTACACTCCAAATATCCATTTACAGATAGTACAAATGACTGTATCCAAACTGCTCAATCAAAAGAAAGTTCAACTGTGTATGATGAATGCACACATCACAAGGGTGTTTCTCAGAAAATTTTTGTCTAGTTTTTAGGTGAAGATATTTCTTATTTCCCAAGAGGCCTCAATGGGCTCTCAAATATTCTCTTTCAGATTCTACTAAATGACTGTATCGAAGCTGCTCAATCAAAAGAAAGGTTCAACAGTGTGAGAAGAAAGTACACATTCCTAGGAAGTTTCTCAGAATTCTTCTTTCTAGGTTTTTATGTGAAGATATTTCCTTTTCCACTATAGGCCTCAAAGCGTTCCAAATATCCACTTGCAGATACTACAAATAGAGCGTTTCTAAACTGCTCAATCAAAAGAAAGGTTCAACTCTGTGAGATGAATGCAGACATCAAAAAGAAGTTTCTCAGAATGCTTCTGCCTTGTTTTTATGTGAAGATATTTCCTTTTTCACCATAGGCCTCAAAGCACTGGTAATATCCATTTGCAGATACTACAAAAAGACTGTTCCCAAACTGCTCAATAAAAAGAAAGTTTCAACTCTATGAGATAAAAGCAAATATCACAAAGAAGTTTCTCAGAATCTTTCTATCTAGTTTTTATGTGAACATATTTCTTATCTCCCCATAGACCTCAATCAGCTCACAAGTATCCTTCTGCAGAGTGTAAAAAACTACTGTTTCCAAACCGTTCAATCACAGGAAAGGTTTAACTCTGTGAAATGAATGCATCCATCACAGAGAAGTTTCTCAGAATGCTTCCGTCTCGTTTCCATGTGAAGAATATTCCTTTTCCACCATATTCCTCATGCGCTCCAAATAAACACTTGCAGATTCCGCTAAAAGAGTGTTTCAAAACTGCTCAATCAAAAGAAAGGTTCTAGTCGGTGAGATGAATGCACACATCACAAAGAAGTTTCTATGAATGCTTCTGTCTGATTTATATTGAAGATATTTCCTTTTTCACCGTAGGCCTCAGAGTGCTTCAAATATCCATTTGCAGATAGTAGAAAAGACTGTTTCCAAACTGCTCAATCAAAATAAAGTTCAACTCAGTGAGATGAATGCACACATCACCAAGACGTTTCTGAGAAAGATTCTGTCTCGTTTTTATGTGAAGATATTTCCTGTTTCCCCAGAGGCATCAATGGGCTCACAAATATTCCTTTGCATATTCTACAAAATGACTGTTTAGAAGGTGCTCAATCAAAAAAAGAGTTCAACAGTGTGAGATGAATGCGCCCATTCAAAGGAAGTTTCTCAGAATTCTTTTATCTAGTTTTTATGTGAAGATATTTCCTTTTTCACTATAGGCCGCAAAGTGCTCCAAATATCCACTTGCAGACTCTACAAAACGAGTGTATCCACACTGCTCAATCAAAAGAAAATTTCAACTGTGTGAGATGAATGCACACATCAAAATAAATTTCTCCAAAACTTCTGCCTACTTTATATGGGAAGATATTTCGTTTTACAACGTAGGCCAAAAGCACTCCAAATATCAATTTGCAGATTCTACAAAAAGACTGTTTCCAAACTGCTCAATCAAGAGAAAGTTTCAACCCAGTGAGTAGAAGTCACACATGACAAAATAGTTTCTCAGAAAGTATCTGTCTAGTTTTTATGTGAAGATATTTCCTATCACCCCATACGTCTCAATGGGCTCAAAAATATCCCTCTGCAGATTCTACGAAACGATTGTTTCCAAACTGTTCAATACAAGGAAAGGTTCAACTCCGTGAAGTGAATACACCCATCAGGCAGAAGTTTCTCAGAATGCTTGCTGTCTAGTTTTTATGGGAAGAGATTTCCTTTTCCACCATAGGCCTCAAAGCTCTCCAAATATCCATTTGCAGATACTGTAAAAAGACTGTTTCCAAACTGCTGAATCAAAAGAAAGGTTGAACTCCATGAGTTGAATGCACACGTCACAAAGAAGTTTCTCAGAATGCTTCTGACTAGTTTTTATGTGAAGATATTTTCTTTTCCAACATAGGCCTCAAAGCGCTGAAAATATCCACTTGAAGATTCTACAAAAAGAGAGTTTCAAAACTGCTCAAACAAAAGAAAGATTCAACTCTGTGAGATGAATGCACACATCACAAAGAAGTTTCTCAGAATGCTTCTGTCTAGTTTTATGTAAAGATATTTCCTTTTCTACTATAGGCCACAAAGCACTCCAAATATCAACTTGCAGATTCTGCAGAAAGAGTTTTTCAAAGCTGCTCAATCAAAAGAAAAGTTCAACTCTTTGTGATGAATGCACACATCATGAAGTTCCTCAGAATGCTTCTATTTTTATGTGAAGATATAGCCTTTTCTACCATAGACCACAAAACGCTCCAAATATCCCCTTGCAGTTTCTACTAAAAGAGAGTTTCCAAACGGCTCAATCAAAAGAAGTTTCAACTCTGTGAGATGAATGCACACATCATTAAGAAGTTTCTCAGTAATTTTCTGTCTAGTTTTTAGGTGAAGATATTTCCTTTCCTACTATAGGCCTGAAAGTGCTCCAAATATCCGCTTGCAGATACTGCAAAAAGACTGTTTCCAAACTGCTCAATCAAAGGAAACGTCCAACTCTGTGAGTTGAATGCACGCATCTCAAAGAGATTACTTATAATGATCCTGTCTAGTTTTGATGTGAAGATATTTGCTTTTCCACCAGTGGCCTCAAACTCTCGAAATATCCACTTGCAGATTCTACAATAAGAGTGTTTCAAAAGTGCTCAATCAAAAGAAAGGTTCAACACTGTGAGATGAATGCACACGTCACAAAGCACTTTCTTAGAATGCTTCTGTCTAGCTTTTATGTGAAGATATTTGCTTTTTCACCATAGGCTGCAAAGCGCTCCAAATATCCCTTTCAGATTCTACAGAAAGAGTGTTTCAAAACTGTTCAATCAAAAGAGAAACTCAACTCTGGTGATGAATGCAAGCATCACAAAGCAGTTTCTCATAACGTTTCTGTCTATTTTTTATGTGAAGTTATTTCATTTTCCACTATAGGCCGTAATGCACTCCTAATATCCACTTGCAGATTCTACAAAAAGACTGATTGCAAACTGCTCAAACAAAAGAAAAGTTCAACTCTGTGAGTTGAATGAGCACATCACAAAGAAGTTTCTCAGAATGCTTCTGTCTAGTTTTTATGTGAATATATTTCCTTTTCCACTATAGGCCGTAATGCGCTCCAAATATCCACCTGCAGATTCTACAAAAAGACTGTTTCCAAACTGCTCAATCAAAAGAAAAGCTCAACTCTGTGAGTTGAATGAGCACATCACAAAGAAGCTCTCAGAATGCTTCTATCTAGTTTTTATGTGAATATATTTGCTTTTCCACCACAGGCCACAAACCCTCCAAATATCCACTTGAAGATTCTACAAAAAGAGTGCCTCAAAAATGCGCAATCAAAAGAAAGGTTCAACTCTTCGAGATGGACGCACACATCACAAAGAAGCTTCTCAGAATGTTTCTTTTTTGTCTGTCTAGTTTTTTTGTGAAGATATTTCCTTTTCCACCGTAGTCCTCAAGTCTCTCCAAATATCTACTTTCAGAATCTCCAAAAAGAGTGTTTTAAAACTGCTGTACCAAAGAAAGTTTCATGTCTGAGATATGACTGCATACAACACAGAGAACTTTCTTAAAGTGCTTCTGTTTATTTTTTTTATGAAGATATTTCCTTATCCACTATTGGCCACAGAGCGCTCCAAATATCCACTGGCAGATTCTACAAAAAGAGAGTTTCAAAACTGCTCAATCATTAGAAAGTTTGAAGTCTGTGAGATGAATGAACACAACACAAAGGAGTTTCTAAGAATGCTTCCATCTGATTTTTATGTGAAGATATTTCCTTTTTCACCATAGGCCTCATTACACTCCAAATATCCATTTATAGATAATACAAATGACTGTTTCCAAACTGCTCAATCAAAAGAAAGTTCAACTGCGTGTGATAAATGCACACATCACAAGGAAGTTGCTCAGAAAGTTTTGTCTTGTTTTTAGGTGAAGATATTTCTTATTTCCCCAGAGGCCTCAATGGGCTCTCAAATATTCCCTTTCATATTCTACTAAAAGACTGTATCGAAGCTGCTCAATCAAAAGACGGGTTTAACAGTGTGAGACGAAAATAAACCTTCCTAGGAAGTTTCTCAGAATTCTTTCTTTCTGGTTTTTTATGTGAAGATATTTCCTTTTCCACTATAGGCCTCAAAGCGTTCCAAATATCCACTTGCAGACACTACAAATAGAGCGTTTCAAAACTGCTCAATCAAAAGAAAGGTTCAACTCTGTGAGATGAATGCAGACATCAAAAAGAAGTTTCTCAGAATGCTTCTGCCTTGTTTTTATGTGAAGATATTTCCTTTTTCACCATAGGCCTCAAAGCCCTGGTAATATCCATTTGCAGATACTACAAAAAGACTGTTCCCAAACTGCTCAATAAAAAGAAAGTTTCAACTCTATGAGATAAAAGCAAATATCACAAAGAAGTTTCTCAGAAACTTTCTATCTAGTTTTTATGTGAACATATTTCTTATCACCCCATAGACCTCAATCGGCTCACAAGTATCCTTCTGCAGATTGTAAAAAACTACTGTTTCCAAACCGCTCAATCACAGGAAAGGTTTAACTCTGGGAAATGAATGCATCCATCACAGAGAAGTTTCTCAGAATGCTTCTGTCTCGTTTTTATGTGAAGAAGATTCCTTTTCCACCATATTCCTCATGCGCTTCAAACATACATTGCAGATTCTACAAAAAGAGTGTTTCAAAACTGCTAAATCAAAAGAAAAGTTCTAATCTGTGAGATGAATGCACACCTCACAAAGAAGTTTCTATGAATGCTTCTGTCTGATTTATATTGAAGATATTTCCTTTTTCACCGTAGGCCTCAGAGCGCTTAAAATATCCATTTGCAGATACTAGAAAAAGACTGTTTCCAAACTGCTCAATAAAAATAAAGTTCAACTCAGTGAGATGAATGCACACATCACAAAGAAGTTTCTGAGAAAGATTCTGTCTCGTTTTTATGTGAAGATATTTCCTGTTTCCCCAGAGGCATCAATGGGCTCACAAATATTCCTTTGCATATTCTACAAAATGACTGTTTAGACGGTGATCAATCAAAAAAAAAAGTTCAACAGTGTGAGATGAATGCGCCCATTCAAAGGAAGTTTCTCAGAATTCTTCTATCTAGTTTTTATGTGAAGATATTTCCTTTTTCACTATAGGCCACAAAGTGCTCCAAATATCCACTTGCAGACTCTACAAAACGAGTGTATCCACACTGCTCAATCAAAAGAAAATTTCAACTGTGTGAGATGAATGCACACATCAAAATAAGTTTCTCCAAAACTTCTGCCTACTTTTTATGGGAAGATATTTCGTTTTTCAACGTAGGCCAAAAGCACTCCAAATATCAATTTGCAGATTCTACAAAAAGACTGTTTCCAAACTGCTCAATCAAGAGAAAGTTTCAACCCTGTGAGTAGAAGTCACACATGACAAAATAGTTTCTCCGAAAGTATCTGTCTAGTTTTAATGTGAAGATATTTCCTATCACCCCAGAAGCCTCAATGGGCTCACAAATATTCCTTTGCAGATTCTACAAAACGACAGTTTCAAAACTGCTGAATCAAAAGAAAGGTTCAACTCTGTGAGATGAATGCACAGATCACAAATAAGTTTCTCAGAATGCTGCTGTCTAGTTTTTATGAGAAGAGATTTCCTTTTCCACCATAGGCGTCAATGCTCTCCAAATAGCCATTTGCAGATACTGTAAAAAGACTGTTTCCAAACTGCTGAATCAAAAGAAAGGTTGAACTCCATGAGTTGAATGCACACGTCACAAAGAAGTTTCTCAGAATGCTTTTGTCTAGTTTTTATGTTAAGATGTTTCCTTTTCCATTCCATGAAGTAAAGTGATGCAAATATCCATTTGTAGATATTACAAAAAGACTGCTTCCAAACTCCTCGATCAAAAGAAAGGTTCAACTCTGTGAGTTGAATGCACACATCACAAAAAATTTTCTCAGAATGCTTCTGTCTAGTTTTATGTAAAGATATTTCCTTTTCTACTATAGGCCACAAAGCACTCCAAATATCAACTTGCAGATTCTGCAGAAAGAGTTATTCAAAGCTGCTCAATCAAAAGAAAAGTTCAACTCCTTGAGACGAATGCACACATCATGAAGTTCCTCAGAATGCTTCTATTTTTATGTGAAGATATATCCTTTTCTACCATAGACCACAAAACTCTCCAAATATCCCCTTGCAGTTTCTACTAAAAGAGTGTTTCCAAACTGCTCAATCAAAAGAAAGTTTCAACTCTGTGAGATGAATGCACACATCATTAAGAAGTTTCTCAGTAATTTTCTGTGTAGTTTTTATGTGAAGATATTTCCTTTCCTACTATAGGCCTGAAAGTGCTCCAAATATCCGTTTGCAGATACTGCAAAAAGACTGTTTCCACACTGCTCAATCAAAGGAAATGTCCAACTCTGTGAGTTGAATGCACGCATCTCAAAGAGATTACTTATAATGATTCTGTCTAGTTTTGATGTGAAGATATTTGCTTTTCCACCAGTGGCCTCATACTCTCCAAATATCCACTTGCAGATTCTACAATAAGAGTGTTTCAAAACTGCTCAATCAAAAGAAAGCTTCAACACTGTGAGATGAATGCACACGTCACAAAGCACTTTCTTAGAATGCTTCTGTCTAGCTTTTATGTGAAGATATTTCCTTTTTCACCATAGGCTGCAAAGCGCTCCAAATATCCCTTTCAGATTCTTCAGAAAGAGTGTTTCAAAACTGTTCAATCAAAAGAGAAACTCAACTACTGGTGATGAATGCACGCATCACAAAGCAGTTTCTCATCATGTT
>NC_000013.11:16000000-16022537 GCF_000001405.40 Homo sapiens | reverse complement strand
TCTGTCTAGTTTTTATGTGAAGATATTTCTTTTTCCCCTGTAGGTCACAAAGGCCTCCAAATATCCACTTGCAGATTCTACAAAAAGAGTATTTGAAAACTTCACAATCAAAAGAAAGTTTCAACTCTGTGAGATGAATGCACACATCACAAAGAAGTTTCTCAGATTGCTTCTGTCTAGTTTATGTGAAGATATTTCCTTTTCCAACAGAGGCTGCAAAACACTCGAAATATCCACTTGCAGATTCTAAAAAAAGAGTGTTTCAAAACTGCTCAATCAAAAGAAAGACTCAAATCTGTGAGTTGAACACACACAACACAAAGAACTTTGTCAGAATGCTTCTCTCTAGTTTTTATGTGAAGATATTTGCTTTTCCACCATAGGCCGCAAAGCGCGCCAAGTATCCACTTGCAGATTTTACAAAAATAGTGTTTCAAAACTGCTCAAACAAAAGAAAGGTTCAACTCTGTGAGTTGAATGCACACATCACAAAGAAGTTTCTCAGAATGCTTCTCCGTAGTTTTTATGTGAAAATATATCCTTTTCCGCATTAGGCCACAAAGCATTGCAAATATCCACTTGCAGATCCTAAAAAAAGTGTGTTTCAAAACTACTCAATCAAAAGAAAGGTTCAACTCTGTGTGTTGAATGCACACATCACAAACCAATTTCTCAGAATGCTTCTGTGTAGTTTTCACGTGAAAATATTTACTTTTCTACCATAGGCCTCAAAACACTCCAAGTATCCAATTGGAGATTCTACAAAAAGAGTGTTTCAAAACTGCTCAATCAAAAGAAAGCTTCAACTCTGTGAGATGAATGCACACATGACAAAGAAGTTTCTCAGAATGCTGTTGTCTAGTTTTTATGTGAAGATATTGCCTTTTCCACTTAAGGCCACATAGCGCTCCAAACATCCACTTGCAGATTCTGCAAAAGGAGTCTTTCAAAACTGCTCAATCTAAAGAAGGACTGCACTCTTTGAGTTAAATGCACACATCACAAAGAAGTTTCTCAGAATGCTTCTGTGTACTATTTATGTGAAGATATTTCCTTTTCCACCGTAGGCCTCAAAGCACTCCAAAAATCCACTGTCAGATTTTACAAAAAGAGTGTTTCAAAACTGCTGAATCAAAAGAAAGGTTGAACTCTGTGGGTTGAATGCACACATCACAAAGTAGTTTCTCAGAATGCTTCTGTCTAATTTTTATGTGAAAATATTCCGTTTTCCACCATAGGCCTCAATGTGCTCCAAATATCCACTTGCAGATTCTACAAAAAATGTGTTTCCAAACTGCTCAACCAAAAGAATGGTTCAACTCTGTGAGATGAAACCACATATCATAAGGAAGTTTCTCAGAAATTTTCTGTCTAGTTTTTATGTGAGAATGTTTCCTATTTCATCCATAGGCGTCAATGGGCTGAGAAATATCCCTTCACAGATTCTACGAAAGGACTGTTTCCAAACTGCTGAATCGAAAGAAATGTTCAACTCTTTGTGATGAATGTGCACATCACAAAGAAGTTTCTCAGAATGATTCTGTCTAGTTTTTATGTGAAGATATTTCGTTTTCCACTATAGGCCACAAAGGACTCCAAATATCCACTTGCAGATTCCCCATAAAGAGTGTTTCCAAACTGCTCAATCAAAGGAAAGTTACAACTCTGTGAGATGAAAGAACACATCATAAAGAAGTTTCTTACAGAAAGCTCCTGTCTAGTTTTTATGTGAAGATATTTTATGTTTCACCATAGTCCAGAAGGTGCTCAAAAATAGCCCTTTGCAGATTCTACACAAAGACTGTTTCCAAACTTCTGAACCAAAATAAAGGTTCAACTCTGTGAGATGAAAGCACATATCTCAAAGAAGTTTCTCAGAAACGTTCTGTCTGGTTTTTATGAGAAGTTATTTCCTATTTCACCATAGGCCTCAATGGACTGAGAAATATCCCTTTGCAGATTCTGCAAAAGGACTATTTCCAAACTGCTCAATCCAAAGAAAGTTTCACCTCTTTGAGTTGAATGCACGCATCACAAACAAGTTTCTCAGAATGCTTCTGTCTAGTTTTTATGTGAAGATATTTCCTTTTTCACCATAGCCCTTAAACTGCTCTCACATATCCCTCTGCAGATACTGCAAAAAGACTGTTTCCAAACTGCTCCATCAAAGGAAAGGTTCAACTCTGTGAGATGAATGGATACATCACAAAGAAGTTTCTCAGAATACTTCTGTCTAGTTTTTATGTGAAGATATTTCTTTTTTGATATAGGCCTCCAACTTCTCAGAAATATCCCATTCCAGATTGTACAAAAAGACTGTATCCAAACTTCTCAATGAAAAGAAACTTTCAACTCTGTGTGATGTATGCATGCATCAAAAAGAAGTTTCTCAGAAAGCTTCTGTTTATATTTCATGCAAAGGTATTTCCTTTTTCACCATAGGCCTCAAAGCGCTCCAAATATCCATTTGCAGATTCTACAAAAAGACTGTTTCCAAACTGCTCAATCAAAAGAAAGTTTCATATCTGTGACATGAAAGCACACATCACTAAGAAGTTTATCAGAAAGCTTCTGTCTACTTTTTATGTGAAAATATGTCCTTTTTCACCATAGGCGTCAATGGGAACAGAAATATCCCTTTGCAGATCCCACAAAAATACTGTTTCCTAACTGCTCAACCAAAAGAATGGTTCAACTCTGTGAGATGAAACCACATATCACAAAGAAGTTTCTCAGAAATCCTCTGTCTAGTTTTTATATGAAGATATTTCCTACTTCATCCATAGGCCTCAATGGGCTCAGAAATATCCTTTCACAGATTCTACAAAACGACAATTTCCAAACTGCTCAATCCAAAGACAGGTTCAACTCTTTGAGATGAATGCACAGAACATAAAGAAGTTTCTCAGAATGCTTCTACCTAGTTTTTATGTGAAGATATTTCCTTTTTCACCACAGGCCTTAAACTGCTTTCACACATCCCTCTGCAGATACTACAAAAAGACTGTTTCCAGACTGCTCCATCAAAAGAAAAATTCAAATCTGTGAGATGAATAGATACATCACAAAAAATTTTCTCAGAATACTTCTGTCTACATTTTATCTGAAGATATTTCTTTTTCACCATAGGCCTCCAACTTCGCAGAAATTTCCTTTGCAGACTGTACAAAAAGACTGTTTCCAAACTGCTCAATGAAAAGAAAGTTTCACCTCTGTGAGATGTATGAACTCATAAAAAAGAAGTTTCTCAGAAAGCTTCTGTTTAGATTTCATGTGAAGATATGTCCTTTCTCACCATAGGCGTCAAAGCGCTCAAAATATCCTTTGCAGATTCTACAAAAACACTGTTTCCAAACTGCTCAATCGAAAGAAAGTTCAAACCTGTGAGATGAAAGCACACATCACTAAAAAGTTTCTCAGAATGCTTCTGTCTAGTTTTTAAGTGAAGATATTTCTTCTTTCACCATAGGTCTCAATGGGCCCAGAAATATCCCTTTGCAGATCCTACAAAAGGACTGTTTACAAACTGCTCAATCAAAACAAAGTTTCAACTCTGTCAGTTGAATGCACACATCACAAAGAAGTGTCTCAGAATCTTCTGACTAGGTTTTATATGAAGATATTTCCTTTCTCACCAAAGTCCTCAAAATGCTCACAAATATCTCTCTGCAGATACTATAAAAGACTGTTTCCAAACTGCTCAATCAAAAGAAAGGTTCAACTCTGTGAGATGAACGCACACATCACAAAAATGTTTCCAGAATGCTTCTGTCTGGTTGTTATGTGAAGATATTTCCTTTTTCACCACAGGCCTCAAAGCACTCCAAATATCCATTTGCAGATCCTACAAAAAGAGAGTTTCCAAATTGCTCAATCAAAAGGTAGTTTCATCTCTGTGAGATGAAAACACACATCCCAAAGAAGTTTCTCAGAAAGCTTCTGTTTATTTTTTATGTGAAGATATTTCCTAATTCACCATAGGCCTAAATCGGCTAAGAAGTATCCTTTTGCAGATTGTAGAAAAATACTGTTTCCAAACTGCTGAATCAAAAGAAAAGTTGAACTGTGTGAGATGAATGCACACATCACAAAGAAGATTCTCAGAATGCTTCTGTCTAGTTTTTATGTGAAGATATTTGCCTTTCCACCATAGGCTGCAATGGTCACCAAATATCCACTTGCAGATATTAAAAAAATAGTGTTTCAAAACTGCCCGATCTAAAGAAAGGTTCAACTCTGTACGTTGAATGCACACATCACAAAGAAGTTTCTCAGAATGTTTCTGTCTACCTTTTATCCAAAGTTATTTCCTTTTCCACTATACTCGGCAAAGCCCTCCGAATATCCACTTGCAGATTCTACAAAAGAAGTGTTTCAAAATTGCACAATCAAAAGAAAGATTCAACTCTGGGAGTTGTATGCACACATCAGAAAGAAGTTTCTCAGAATGCTTTTGTGTAGTTTTTATGTGAAGATATTTCCTTTTCCACCATAGGCCCTAAAGCTCTCCAAATATCCACTTGCAGATTATACAAAAAGAGGGATTCAAAACTGCTCAATCAAAAGAAAGGTTCAACTCCGTGAGCTGAAGGCTCACATAACAATGCTGTTTCTCAGAATGCTTCTCCATAGTTTTTATATGAAGATATTTCCTTTTCCACCATTCTCTCCAAAGCGCTCCAAATATCCACTTGCAGATTCTATAAAAAGAGTGTTTCAAAACTGCTCAATGAAAAGAAAGTTTCAACTCTGTGAAATGAATGGACACATCACAAAGACGTTTCTCAGAATGCTTCTGTCTAGTGTTTATGTGAAGATATTTCCTTTTCCACCACACTTCTCAAAGCGATCTAAATATGCACTTGCAGATGCTACGAAGAGTGTTTCAAAACTGCTGAATCAAAAGAATGTTTCAAATCTGTGAGATGAATGAACACATCACAGAGAAGTTTCTCAAAATGCTTCTGTCTAGTTTTTATGAGAAGATAATACTTTTCCACCATTGGCCCCAAAGGGCTCCAAATAACAACTGCAGATCCTTCAAAAAGTGTATAAAAAATGCTAAATCAATAGAAAGTTTCAACTCTGTGAGATGTATGCACACATCACAAAGAAGTTTCTCAGAATGCTTCTCTCTAGTTTTTATGTGAGGATATTTCCTTCTCCACCATAGGACTCAATGCACTCCAAATAAACACTGGCAGATTCTAGAAAAAGAGCGTTTCAAAACTGCTCAATCAAAAGAAATTTTCAAATTTGTGAGATGAATGTGCACATCACAAAGAAGTTTCTTAGAGTAATTCTGTCTAGTTTTTATGTGAAGATTTTTCATTTTCCACCATACTCCTCAAAGCGTTCCAAATATCCACTTTCACATTCTACAAGGAGATTGTTTCAAAACTGCTCAATAAAAAGAATGGTTCAACTATGTGAGATGAATGCAAGCATCACAAAGAGGTATTTCAGAATGCTTCTGTGTAGTTTTTATGTGAAGATGTTTCCTTTACCACCATAGGACCCAAAGCCCTCCAAATATCCACTTACAGATTCTCCAAAAAGTATTTCAAAAGTGCTCAATCAAAAGAAAGGTTGAACTCTTTGAGATGAATGCACACATCACAAAGATGTTTTTCAGAATGCTTGTCTGTCTAGTTTTTATGTGAATATACATCCTTTTCCACTATAGGCCACAAAGTGCTCCAAACACCCACTTGTAGATTCTACAAAAAGAGTGTTTCAAAAGTCCTCAATAAAAAAAGTTATAACTCTGTGAAGTGAATGTACACATCACAAAGAAGATTCTCAGAATGCTTCTGTCTAGTTTTTATGTGAAGATATTTGCTTTTCCACCATTGGATGCAAATTGCACCCAATATACACTTGTAGATTTTACAAAAATAGTGTTTCAAAACTGCTCAATCAAAAGAAAGGTTCAATTCTGTGAGTTGAATGCACGCATAAGAAAGAAGTTTCTCAGAATGCTTCGCTGTAGTTTTTATGTGAAGATATTTCCTTTCCCACCATAAGCCTCAAAGTGCTCCAAATATCCACTTGCACACTCTACAAAAAGAGTGGTTGAAAACTGCTCAATCAAAAGAAAGGTTGAACTCTGTGAGATGAATGCACACATCACAAAGAAGTTTCTCAGAATGCTTCTCCGTAGTTTTTATGTGAAGATATATCCTTTTCCGCAGTAGGCCACAAAGCACTCCAAATATCCACTTGCAGATCCTAAAAAAAGTGTGTTTCAAAACTGCTCAATCAAAAGAAAGGTTCAACTCTGTGTGTTGAATGCACACATCACAAACCAATTTCTCAGAATGCTTCTGTGTAGTTTTCATGTGAAGATATTTCCTTTTCCACCATAGGCCTCAAAGCGCTCCAAGTATCTAATTGGAGATTCCACAAGAGTGTTTCAATACTACTCAATCAAAAGAAAGCTTCAACTCTGTGAGATGAATCCACACATCACAAAGAAGTTTCTCAAAATGCTGCTGTCTAGTTTTTATGGGAAGATATGTCCTTTTCCACCATGGGCCTCAAAGTGCTCCAAATATCCACTTGCAGATTCTACAAAAATACAGTTTCCAAACTGCTCAATAAAAAGAAAGGTTCAACTCTGTGAGATGAATGCACACATCACAAAATGTTTCTCAGAATACTTCTGTGTACTATTTATGTGAAGATATTTCCTTTTCCACTGTAGGCCTCAAAGCGCTCCAAAAATCCACTGTCAGATTTTACAAAAAGAGTGTTTCAAAACTGCTGAATCAAAAGAAAGGTTGAACTCTGTGGGTTGAATGCACACATCACAAAGTAGTTTCTCAGAATGCTTCTGTCTAATTTTTATGTGAAAATATTTCGTTTTCCACCATAGGCCTCAATGTGCTCCAAATATCCACTTGCAGATTCTACAAAAAGAGTGTTTCCAATCTTCTCAACCAAAAGAACGGTTCAACTCTGTGAGATGAAACCACATATCACAAAGAAGTTTCTCAGAAATTTCTGTCTAGTTTTTAATGTGAGAATATTTCCTATTTCATCCATAGGCATCAATGGGCTGAGAAATATCCCTTCACAGATTCTACAAAAGGACTGTTTCCAAACTGCTGAATTGAAAGAAATGTTCAACTCTTTGTGATGAACGTGCACATCACAAAGAAGTTTCTCAGAATGATTCTGTCTAGTTTTTATGTGAAGATATTTCGTTTTCCACTATAGGCCACAAAGGACTCCAAATATCCACTTGCAGATTCCCCATAAAGAGTGTTTCCAAACTGCTCAACCAAAGGAAAGTTACAACTCTGTGAGATGAAAGAACACATCATAAAGAAGTTTCTCAGAAAGCTTCTGTCTAGTTTTTATGTGAAGATATTTTCTGTTTCACCATAGTCCAGAAGGTGCTCAAAAATAGTGCTTTGCAGATTCTACACAAAGACTGTTTCCAAACTTCTGAACCAAAAGAAAGGTTCAGCTCTGTGAGATGAAAGCACATATCTCAAAGAAGTTTCTCAGAAACCTTCTGTCTGGTTTTTATGAGAAGATATTTCCTATTTCACCATAGGTCTCAATGGGCTGAGAAACAACCCTTTTGCAGATTCTACAAAAGGACTGTTTCCAAACTGCTCAATCCAAAGAAAGTTTCACCTCTTTGAGTTGAATGCATACATCACAAAGAAGTTTCTCAGAATGCTTCTGCCTAGTTTTTATGTGAAGATATTTCCTTTTTCACCACAGGCCTTAAACTGCTCTCAGATATCCCTCCGCAGATACTACAAAAAGACTGTCTCCAAACTGCTCCATCAAAAGTAAGGTTCAACTCTGTGAGATGAAAGGATACATCTCAAAGAAGTTTCTCAGAATACTTCTGTCTAGTTTTTATGTGAAGATATTTCTTTTTCGATATAGGCCTCCAACTTCTCAGAAATATCCCTTTCCAGATTGTACAAAAAGACTGTTTCCAAACTGCTCAATGAAAAGAAACTTTCAACTCTGTGAGATGTATGCATGCATCAAAAAGAAGCTTCTCAGAAAGCTTCTGTTTATATTTCATGTGAAGGTATTTCCTTTTTCACCATAAGCCTCAAAGCACTCCAAATATCCATTTGCAGATTCTACAAAAAGACTGTTTCCAAACTGATCAATCAAAAGAAAGTTTCAAATCTGTGACATGAAAGCACACATCACTAAGAAGTTTATCAGAAAGCTTCTGTCTAGTTTTTATGTGAAGATATGTCCTTTTTCACCATAGGCGTCAATGGGAACAGAAATATCCCTTTGCAGATCCCACAAAAATACTGTTTCCTAACTGCTCAACCAAAAGAATGGTTCAACTCTGTGAGATGAAACCACATATCACAAAGAAGTTTCTCAGAAATCCTCTGTCTTGTTTTTATGTGAAGATATTTCCTATTTCATCCATAGGCCTCAATGGGCTCAGAAATATCCCTTCACAGATTCTACAAAACGACAGTTTCCAAACTGCTCAGTCCAAAGACAGGTTCAAGTCTTTGAGATGAATGCAAACAATACAAAGAAGTTTCTTAGAATGCTTCTACCTTGTTTTTATGTGAAGATATTTCCTTTTTCACCACAGGCCTTAAACTTCTCTCACATATCCCTCTTCAGATACTACAAAAAGACTGTTTCCACACTGCTCCATCAAAAGAAAAATTCAACTCCGTGAGATGAATAGATACATCACAAAAAATTTTCTCAGAATACTTCTGTCTACATTTTATCTGAAGATATTTCTTTTTCACCATAGGCCTCTAACTTCGCAGAAATATTCCTTTGCAGATTTTACAAAAAGACTGTTTCCAAACTGCTCAATGAAAAGAAAGTTTCACCTCTGTGAGATGTATGCAGTCATCAAAAGGAAGTTTCTCAGAAAGCTTCTGTTTAGATTTCATGTGAAGATATGTCCTTTTTCACCATAGGCCTCAAAGTGCTTGAAGTATCCTTTGCAGATTCTACAAAAAGACTGTTTCCAAACTGCTCAATCAAAAGAAAGGTTCAAACCTGTGAGATGAAAGCACACATCACTAAGAAGTTTCTCAGAATGCTTCTGTCTAGTTTTTAAGTGAAGATATTTCTTCTTTCACCATAGGTCTCAATGGGCCCAGAACTATCCCTTTGCAGATCCTACAAAAGGACTGTTTACAAACTGCTCAATCAAAACAAAGTTTCACCTCTATCAGTTGAATGCACACATCACAAAGAAGTTTCTCAGAATCTTCTGACTAGGTTTTATATGAAGATATTTCCTTTCTCACCAAGTCCTCAAAATGCTGACAAATATCTCACTGCAGATACTATCAAAGACTGTTTCCAAACTGCTCAATCAAAAGAAATGTTCAACTCTGCGAGATGAATGCACGCATCACAAAGATGTTTCCAGAATGCTTCTGTCTGGTTGTTATGTGAAGATATTTCCTTTTTCACCACAGGCCTCAAAGCGCTCCAAATATCCATTTGCAGATCCTACAAAAAGAAAGTTTCGAAATTGCTCAATCAAAAGAAAGTTTCATCTCTCTGAGATGAAAACACACATCCCAAAGAAGTTTCTCAGAAAGCTTCTGTCTAGTTTTTATGTGAAGATATTTCCTAATTCACCATAGACCGAAATCGGCTAAGAAGTATCCCTTTGCAGATTGTACAAAAATACTGTTTCCAAACTGCTGAATCAGAAGAAAAGTTGAACTGTGTGAGATGAATGCACACATCACAAAGAAGTTTCTCAGAATGCTTCTGTCTAGTTTTTATGTGAAGATATTTGCTTTTCCATCATAGGCCGCAATCGTCACCAAATATCCACTTGCAGATTTTACAAAAATAGTGTTTCAAAACTGCCCAATCTAAAGAAAGGTTCAACTCTGTACGTTGAATGCACACATCACAAAGAAGTTTCTCAGAATGCTTCTGTCTACCTTTTATCCAAAGTTATTTCCTTTTCCACTATACTCGGCAAAGCCCTCCTAATATCCACTTGCAGATTCTACAAAAGAAGTGTTTCAAAATTGCACAATCAAAAGAAAGATTCAACTCTGGGAGTTGTATGCACACATCAGAAAGAAGTTTCTCAGAATGTTTTTGTGTAGTTTTTATGTGAAGATATTTCCTTTTCCACCATAGGCCCTAAAACTCTCCAAATATCCACTTGCAGATTCTACAAAAAAAGGGAATCAAAACTGCTCAATCAAAAGAAAGGTTGAACTCTGTGAGCTGAAGGCACACATAACAATGCCGTTTCTCAGAATGCTTCTCCATAGTTTTTATATGAAGATATTTCCATTTCCACCATTCTCTCCAAAGTGCTCCAAATATCCACTTGCAGATTCTATAAAAAGAGTGTTTCAAAACTGCTCAATGAAAAGAAAGTTTCACCTCTGTTAGATGAATGGACACATCACAAAGACGTTTCTCAGAATGCTTCTGTCTAGTGTTTATGTGAAGATATTTCCTTTTCCACCACACGTCTCAAAGCGATCTAAATATGCACTTGCAGATTCTAGGAAGAGTGCTTCAAAACTGCTGAATCAAAAGAATGGTTCAAATCTGTGAGATGAACGAACACATCACAAAGAATTTGCTCAAAATGCTTCTGTCTAGTTTTTATGAGAAGATAATACTTTTCCACCATTGGCCCCAAAGGGCTCCAAATAGCAACTGCAGATCCTACAAAAAGTGTATAAAAAATGCTAAATCAATAGAAAGTTTCAACTCCGTGAGATGTATGCACACATCACAAAGAAGTTTCTCAGAATGCTTCTCTCTAGTTTTTATGTGATGATATTTCCTTCTCCACCATAGGCCTCAAAGCACTCCAAATATCCACTGGCAGATTCTAGAAAAAGAGAGTTTCAAAACTGCTCAATCAAAAGAAATTTTCAAATCTGTGAGATGAATGCGCACATCACAAAGAACTTTCTCAGAGTACTTCTGTCTAGTTTTTATGTGAAGATTTTTCATTTTCCACCATACTCATCAAAGCGTTCCAAATATCCACTTGCACATTCTACAGGGAGATTGTTTCAAAACTGCTCAATAAAAAGAATGGTTCAACTATGTGAGATGAATGCAAGCATCACAAAGAGGTATTTCAGAATGCTTCTGTGTAGTTTTTATGTGAAGATGTTTCCTTTACCACCATAAGACCCAAAGCCCTCCAAATATCCACTTACAGATTCTCCAAAAGGTATTTCAAAAGTGCTCAATCAAAAGAAAGGTTGAACTCTTTGAGATGAATGCACACATCACAAAGATGTTTCTCAGAATGCTTCTGTCTAGTTTTTATGTGAAGATATTTCCTTTTCCCCTGTAGGCCACAAAGGCCTCCAAATATCCACTTGCAGATTGCACAAAAAGAGTGTTTGAAAACTTCACAATCAAAAGAAAGTTTCAACTCTGTGAGATGAATGCACACATCACAAGGAAGTTTCACAGAATGCTTCTGTCTAGTTTATGTGAAGATATTTCCTTTTCCAACAGAGGCTGCAAAGCACTCGAAATATCCACTTGCAGATTCTAAAAGAAGAGTGTTTCAAAACTGCTCAATCAAAAGAAAGACTCAACTCTGTGAGTTGAACACACACAACACAAAGAACTTTGTCAGAATGCTTCTCTGTAGTTTTTATGTGAAGATATTTCCTTTTCCACCATAAGCCTCAAAGAGCTCCAAATATCCGCTTGCACACTCTACAAAAAGAGCGTTTCAAAACTGCTCAATCAAAAGAAAGGTTGAACTCTGTGAGATGAATGCACACATCACAAAGAAGTTTCTCAGAATGCTTCTCCGTAGTTTTTATGTGAAAATATATCCTTTTCCTCATTAGGCCACAAAGCACTCCAAATATCCACTTGCAGATCCTAAAAAAAAGTGTGTTTCAAAACTACTCAATCAAAAGAAAGGTTCAACTCTGTGTGTTGAATGCACACATCACAAACCAATTTCTCAGAATGCTTCTGTGTAGTTTTCACGTGAAGATATTTACTTTTCTACCATAGGCCTCAAAACGCTCCAAGTATCCAACTGGAGATTCTACAAAAAGAGTGTTTCAAAACTGCTCAATCAAAAGAAAGCTTCAACTCTGTGAGATGAATGCAAACATGACAAAGAAGTTTCTCAGAATGCTGTTGTCTAGTTTTTATGTGAAGATATTGCCTTTTCCACTTAAGGCCACATAGCGCTCCAAACATCCACTTGCAGATTCTGCAAAATAAGTCTTTCAAAACTGCTCAATCTAAAGAAGGATTGCACTCTTTGAGTTAAACGCACACATCACAAAGAAGTTTCTCAGAATGCTTCTGTGTACTATTTATGTGAAGATATTTCCTTTTCCACCGTAAGCCTCAAAGCACTCCAAAAATCCACTGTCAGATTTTACAAAAAGAGTGTTTCAAAACTGCTGAATCAAAAGAAAGGTTCAACTCTGTGGGTTGAATGCACACATCACAAAGTAGTTTCTCAGAATGCTTCTGTCTAATTTTTATGTGAAAATATTCCGTTTTCCACCATAGGCCTCAATGTGCTCCAAATATCCACTTGCAGATTCTACAAAAAATGTGTTCCCAAACTGCTCAAACAAAAGAACGGTTCAACTCTGTGAGATGAAACCACATATCATAAAGAAGTTTCTCAGAAATTTTCTGTCTAGTTTTTATGTGAGAATATTTCCTATTTCATCCATAGGCATCAATGGGCTGAGAAATATCCCTTCACAGATTCTACAAAAGGACTGTTTCCAAACTGCTCAATCGAAAGAAATGTTCAACTCTTTGTGATGAATGTGCACATCACAAAGAAGTTTCTCAGAATGATTCTGTCTAGTTTTTATGTGAAGATATTTCGTTTTCCACTATAGGCCACAAAGGACTCCAAATATCCACTTGCAGATTCCCCATAAAGAGTGTTTCCAAACTGCTCAATCAAAGGAAAGTTACAACTCTGTGAGATGAAAGAACACATCATAAAGAAGTTTCTCAGAAAGCTTCTGTCTAGTTTTTATGTGAAGATATTTTCTGTTTCACCATAGTCCAGAAGGTGCTCAAAAATAGCCCTTTGAAGATTCTACACAAAGACTGTTTCCAAACTTCTGAACCAAAAGAAAGGTTCAGCTCTGTGAGATGAAAGCACATATCTCAAAGAAGTTTCTCAGAAACCTTCTGTCTGGTTTTTATGGGAAGATATTTCCTATTTCACCATAGGCCTCAATGGGCTGAGAAATATCCCTTTGCAGATTCTACAAAAGGACTGTTTCCAAACTGCTCAATCCAAAGAAAGTTTCACCTCTTTGAGATGAATGCATACATCACAAAGAAGTTTCTCAGAATGCTTCTGCCTAGGTTTTTGTGAAGATATTTCCTTTTTCACCGTAGGCCTTAAACTGCTCTCAGATATCTCTCTGCAGATACTACAAAAAGACTGTCTCCAAACTGCTCCATCAAAAGTAAGGTTCAACTCTGTGAAATGAAAGGATACATCTCAAAGAAGTTTCTCAGAATACTTCTGTCTAGTTTTTATGTGAAGATATTTCGTTTTCGATATAGGCCTCCAACTTCTCAGAAATATCCCATTCCAGATTGTACAAAAAGACTGTTTTCAAACTGCTCAATGAAAAGAAACGTTCAACTCTGTGAGATGTATGCACGCATCAAAAAGAAGTTTCTCAGAAAGCTTCTGTTTATATTTCATGTGAAGGTATTTCCTTTTTCACCATAGGCCTCAAAGCACTCCAAATATCCATTTGCAGATTCTACAAAAAGACTGTTTCCAAACTGCTCAATCAAAAGAAAGTTTCAAATCTGTGACATGAAAGCACACATCACTAAGAAGTTTATCAGAAAGCTTCTGTCTAGTTTTTATGTGAAGATATGTCCTTTTTCACCATAGGCATCAATGGGAACAGAAATATCCCTTTGCAGATCCTACAAAAAGACTGTTTCCTAACTGCTCAACCAAAAGAATGGTTCAACTCTGTGAGATGAAACCACATATCACAAAGAAGTTTCTCAGAAATCCTCTGTCTAGTTTTTATGTGAAGATATTTCATATTTCATCCATAGGCCTCAATGGGCTCAGAAATATCCCTTCACAGATTCTACAAAACGACAGTTTCCAAACTGCTCAGTCCAAAGACAAGTTCAAGTCTTTGAGATGAATGCACGCAATACAAAGAAGTTTCTTAGAATGCTTCTACCTAGTTTTTATGTGAAGATATTTCCTTTCTCACCACAGGCCTTAAACTGCTCTCACACATCCCTCTGCAGATACTACAAAAAGACTGTTTCCAGACTGCTCCATCAAAAGAAAAATTCAACTCTGTGAGATGAATAGATACATCACAAAAAATTTTCTCAGAATACTTCTGTCTACATTTTATCTGAAGATATTTCTTTTTCACGATAGGCCTCCAACTTCGCAGAAATTTTGTTTGCAGACTGTACAAAAAGACTGTTTCCAAACTGCTCAATGAAAAGAAAGTTTCACCTCTGTGAGATGTATGAACTCATAAAAAAGAAGTTTCTCAGAAAGCTTCTGTTTAGATTTCATGTGAAGATATGTCCTTTTTCACCATAGGCGTCAAAGCGCTCAAAATATCCTTTGAAGATTCTACAAAAACACTGTTTCCAAACTGCTCAATCAAAAGAAAGTTCAAACCTGTGAGATGAAAGCACACATCACTAAGAAGTTTCTCAGAATGCTTCTGTCTAGTTTTTAAGTGAAGATATTTCTTCTTTCACCATAGGTCTCAATGGGCCCAGAACTATCCCTTTGCAGATCCTACAAAAGGACTGTTTACAAACTGCTCAATCAAAACAAAGTTTCAACTCTATCAGTTGAATGCACACATCACAAAGAAGTTTCTCAGAATCTTCTGACTAGGTTTTATATGAAGATATTTCCTTTCTCACAAAAGTCCTCAAAATGCTCACAAATATCTCTCTGCAGATACTATAAAAGACTGTTTCCAAACTGCTCAATCAAAAGAAAGGTTCAACTCTGTGAGATGAATGCACACATCACAAAAATGTTTCCAGAATGCTTCTGTCTGGTTGTTATGTGAAGATATTTCCTTTTTCACCACAGGCCTCAAAGCGCTCCAAATATCCATTTGCAGATCCTACAAAAAGAGAGTTTCGAAACTGCTCAATCAAAAGAAAGTTTCATCTCTGTGAGATGAAAACACACATCCCAAAGAAGTTTCTCAGAAAGCTTCCATTTATTTTTTATGTGAAGATATTTCCTAATTCACAATAGGCCTAAATTGGCTAAGAAGTATCCCTTTGCAGATTGTACAAAAATACTGTTTCCAAACTGCTGAATCAAAAGAAAAGTTGAACTCTGTGAAATGAATGCACACATCGCAAAGAAGTTTCTCAGAAAGCTTCTGTCTAGTTTTTATGTGAAGATATTTGCCTTTCCACCATAGGCTGCAATGGTCATCAAATATCCACTTGCAGATATTACAAAAATAGTGTTTCAAAACTGCCCGATCTAAAGAAAGGTTCAACTCTGTACGTTGAATGCACACATCACATAGAAGTTTCTCAGAATGTTTCTGTCTACCTTTTATCCAAAGTTATTTCCTTTTCCACTATACTCGGCAAAGCCCTCCGAATATCCACTTGCAGATTCTACAAAAGAAGTGTTTCAAAATTGCACAATCAAAAGAAAGGTTCAACTCTGGGAGTTGTATGCGCACATCAGAAAGAAGTTTCTCAGAATGCTTTTGTGTAGTTTTTATGTGAAGATATTTCCTTTTCCACCATAGGCCCCAAAGCTCTCCAAATATCCACTTGCAGATTCTACAAAAAGCGGGATTCAAAACTGTTCAATCAAAAGAAAGTTTCAACTCTGTGAGTTGAAGGCACACATAACAAAGCCGTTTCTCAGAATGCTTCTCCGTAGTTTTTATATGAAGATATTTCCGTTTCCACCATTCTCTCCAAAGCACTCCAAATATCTACTTGCAGATTCTATAAAAAGAGTGTTTCAAAACTGCTCAATGAAAAGAAAGTTTCAACTCTGTGAGATGAATGGACACATCATAAAGACGTTTCTCAGAATGCTTCTGTCTAGTGTTTATGTGAAGATATTTCCTTTTCCACCACACTTCTCAAAGCGATCTAAATATGCACTTGCAGATTCTACGAAGAGTGTTTCAAAACTGCTGAATCAAAAGAATGGTTCAAATCTGTGAGATGAATGAACACATCACAGAGAAGTTTCTCAAAATGCTTCTGTCTAGTTTTTATGAGAAGATAATTCTTTTCCACCATAGGCCCCAAAGGGCTCCAAATATCCACTGCAGATCCTACAAAAAGTGTTTAAAAAATGCTAAATCAATAGAAAGTTTAAACTCTGTGAGATGTATGCACACATCACAAAGAAGTTTCTCAGAATCCTTCTCTCTAATTTTTATGTGAGGATATTTCCTTCTCCACCATAGGCCTCAAAGCACTCCAAATATCCCCTGGCAGATCCTAAAAAAAGAGCGATTCAAAACTGCTCAATCAAAAGAAATTTTCAAATCTGAGATGAATGCGCACATCACAAAGAAGTTTCTCAGAGTACTTCTGTCTAGTTTTTATGTGAAGATTTTTCATTTTCCACCATACTCATCAAAGCATTCCAAATATCCACTTGCACATTCTACAAGGAGATTGTTTCAAAACTGCTCAATAAAAAGAATGGTTCAACTATGTGAGATGAATGCAAGCATCACAAAGAGGTATTTCAGAATGCTTCTGTGTAGTTTTTATGTGAAGATGTTTCCTTTACCACCATAGGACCCAAAGCCCTCCAAATATCCACTTACAGATTCTCCAAAAAGTATTTCAAAAGTGCTCAATCAAAAGAAAGGTTGAACTCTTTGAGATGAATGCACACATCACAAAGATGTTTTTCAGAATGCTTCTCTGTAGTTTTTATGTGAAGATATTTCCTTTTCCCCTATAGGCCACAAAGACCTCCAAATATCCACTTGCAGATTATACAAAAAGAGTGTTTGAAAACTTCACAATCAAAAGAAAGTTTCCTCTCTGTGAGATGAATGCACACATCACAAGGAAGTTTCTCAGAATGCTTCTGTCTAGTTTATGTGAAGATATTTCCTTTTCCAACAGAGGCTGCAAAGCACTCGAAATATCCACTTGCAGATTCTAAAAAAAGAGTGTTTCAAAACTGCTCAATCAAAAGAAAGACTCAACTCTGTGAGTTGAACACACACAACACAAAGAACTTTGTCAGAATGCTTCTCTGTAGTTTTTATGTGAAGATATTTCCTTTTCCACCATAAGCCTCAAAGAGCTCCAAATATCTGCTTGCACACTCTACAAAAAGAGCGTTTCAAAACTGCTCAATCAAAAGAAAGGTTGAACTCTGTGAGATGAATGCACACATCACAAAGAAGTTTCTCAGAATGCTTCTCCATAGTTTTTATGTGAAAATATATCCTTTTCCGCATTAGGCCACAAAGCACTCCAAATATCCACTTGCAGATCCAAAAAAAAGTGTGTTTCAAAACTGCTAAATCAAAAGAAAGGTTCAACTCTGTGTGTTGAATGCACACATCACAAACCAATTTCTCAGAATGCTTCTGTGTAGTTTTCACGTGAAAATATTTACTTTTCTACCATAAGCCTCAAAACGCTCCAAGTATCCAATTGGAGATTCTACAAAAAGAGTGTTTCAAAACTGCTCAATCAAAAGAAAGCTTCAACTCTGTGAGATGAATGCACACATGACAAAGAAGTTTCTCAGAATGCTGTTGTCTAGTTTTTATGTGAAGATATTGCCTTTTCCACTTAAGGCCACATAGCGCTCCAAATATCCACTTACAGATTCTACAAAAGGAGTCTTTCAAAACTGCTCAATCAAAAGAAGGATTGCACTCTTTGAGTTAAATGCACACATCACAAAGAAGTTTCTCAGAATGCTTCTATGTACTATTTATGTGAAGATATTTCCTTTTCCACCGTAGGCCTCAAAGCGTTCCAAAAATCCACTGGCAGATTTTACAAAAAGAGTGTTTCAAAACTGTTGAATCTAAAGAAAGGTTGAACTCTGTGGGTTGAATGCACACATCACAAAGAAGTTTCTCAGAATGATTCTGTCTAATTTTTATGTGAAAATATTCCGTTTTCCACCATAGGCCTCAATGTGCTCCAAATATCCACTTGCAGATTCTACAAAAAATGTGTTTCCAAACTGCTCAAACAAAAGAACGGTTCAACTCTGTGAGATGAAACCACATATCATAAAGAAGTTTCTCAGAAATTTTCTGTCTAGTTTTTTTGTGAGAATATTTCCTATTTCATCCATAGGCATCAATGGTCTGAGAAATATCCCTTCACAGATTCTACATAAGGACTGTTTCCAAACTGCTGAATCGAAAGAAATGTTCAACTCTTTGTGATGAATGTGCACATCACAAAGAAGTTTCTCAGAATGATTCTATCTAGTTTTTATGTGAAGATATTTCATTTTCCACTATAGGCCACAAAGCACTCCAAATATCCACTTGCAGATTCCCCATAAAGAGTGTTTCCAAACTGCTCAATCAAAGGAAATTTACAACTCTGTGAGATGAAAGAACACATCATAAAGAAGTTTCTCAGAAAGCTTCTGTCTAGTTTTTATGTGAAGATATTTTCTGTTTCACCACAGTCCAGAAGGTGCTCAAAAATAGCGCTTTGCAGATTCTACACAAAGACTGTTTCCAAACTTCTGAGCCAAAAGAAAGGTTCAGCTCTGTGAGATGAAAGCACATATCTCAAAGAAGTTTCTCAGAAACCTTCTGTCTGGTTTTTATGAGAAGTTATTTCCTATTTCACCATAGGCCTCAATGGACTGAGAAATATCCCTTTGCAGATTCTGCAAAAGGACTATTTCCAAACTGCTCAATCCAAAGAAAGTTTCACCTCTTTGAGTTGAATGCATACATCACAAAGAAGTTTCTCAGAATGCTTCTGCCTAGTTTTTATGTGAAGATATTTCCTTTTTCACCATAGGCCTTAAACTGCTCTCAGATATCCCTCCGCAGATACTACAAAAAGACTGTCTCCAAACTGCTCCATCAAAAGTAAGGTTCAATTCTGTGAGATGAAAGGATACATCTCAAAGAAGTTTCTCAGAATACTATTTCTTTTTCGATATAGGCCTCCAACTTCTCAGAAATATCCCATTCCAGATTGTACAAAAAGACTGTTTCCAAACTGCTCAATGAAAAGAAATATTCAACTCTGTGAGATGTATGCACGCATCAAAAAGAAGTTTCTCAGAAAGCTTCTGTTTATATTTCATGTGAAGGTATTTCCTTTTTCACCATAGGCCTCAAAGCACTCCAAATATCCATTTGCAGATTCTACAAAAAGACTGTTTCCAAACTGATCAATCAAAAGAAAGTTTCAAATCTGTGACATGAAAGCACACATCACTAAGAAGTTTATCAGAAAGCTTCTGTCTAGTTTTTATGTGAAGATATGTCCTTTTTCACCATAGGCATCAATGGGAACAGAAATATCTCTTTGCAGATCCTACAAAAAGACTGTTTCCTAACTGCTCAACCAAAAGAATGGTTCAACTCTGTGAGATGAAACCACATATGACAAAGAAGGTTCTCAGAAATCCTCTGTCTAGTTTTTATGTGAAGATATTTCCTATTTCATCCATAGGCCTCAATGGGCTCAGAAATATCCCTTCACAGATTCTACAAAACGACAGTTTCCAAACTGCTCAGTCCAAATACAGGTTCAAGTCTTTGAGATGAATGCACACAATACAAAGAAGTTTCTTAGAATGCTTCTACCTAGTTTTATGTGAAGATATTTCCTTTTCCACCAGAGGCCTTAAACTGTTCTCACATATACCTCTTCAGATACTACAAAAAGACTGTTTCCAGACTGCTCCATCAAAAGAAAATTTCAACTCTGTGAGATGAATGGATACATCACAAAAAATTTTCTCAGAATACATCTGTCTACATTTTATCTGAAGATATTTCTTTTTCACCATAGGCCTCCAACTTCGCAGATATTTCCTTTGCAGACTGTACAAAAAGACTGTTTCCAAACTGCTCAATGAAAAGAAAGTTTCACCTCTGTGAGATGTATGAACTCATAAAAAAGAAGTTTCTCAGAAAGCTTCTGTTTAGATTTCATGTGAAGATATGTCCTTTTTCACCATAGGCGTCAAAGCGCTCAAAATATCCTTTGCAGATTCTACAAAAACACTGTTTCCAAACTGCTCAATCAAAAGAAAGTTCAAACCTGTGAGATGAAAGCACACATCACTAAGAAGTTTCTCAGAATGCTTATGTCTAGTTTTTAAGTGAAGATATTTCTTCTTTCACCATAGGTCTCAATGGGCTCAGAAATATCCCTTTGCAGATCCTACAAAAGGACTGTTTCCAAACTGCTCAATCAAAACAAAGTTTCAACTCTGTCAGATGAATGCACACATCACAAAGAAGTTTCTCAGAATGCTTCTGACTAGGTTTTATATGAAGATATTTCTTTTCTCACCAAAGTCCTCAAAATGCTCACAAATATCTCTCTGCAGATACTATCAAAGACTGTTTCCAAACTACTCAATCAAAAGAAAGGTTCAACTCTGTGAGATGAATGCACACATCACAAAGATGTTCCCAGAATGCTTCTGTCTAGTTGTTATGTGGAGATATTTCCTTTTTCACCACAGGCCTCAAAGCACTCTAAATATCCATTTGCAGATCCTACAAAAAGAGAGTTTCCAAATTGCTCAATCAAAAGAAAGTTTCATCTCTGTGAGATGAAAACACACATCCCAAAGAAGTTTCTCAGAAAGTTTCTGTTTATTTTTTATGTGAAGATATTTCCTAATTCACCATAGGCCTAAATCGGCTAAGAAGTATCCCTTTGCAGATTGTAGAAAAATACTGTTTCCAAACTGCTGAATCAAAAGAAAAGTTGAACTGTGTGAGAAGAATGCACACATCACAAAGAAGATTCTCAGAATGCCTTGGTCTAGTTTTTATGTGAAGATATTTGCCTTTCCACCATAGGCTGCAATGGTCACCAAATATCCACTTGCAGATATTACAAAAGTAGTGTTTCAAAACTGCCAAATCTAAAGAAAGGTTCAACTCTGTACGTTGAATGCACACATCACAAAGAAGTTTCTCAGAATTCTGCTGTCTAGCTTTTATCCAAAGTTATTTCCTTTTCCACTATACTCCACAAAGCCCTCTGAATATCCACTTGCAGATTCTACAAAAGAAGTGTTTCAAAACTGCACAATCAAAAGAAAGTTTCGACTCTGTGAGTTGTATGCACACATCAGAAAGAAGTTTCTCAGAATGCTTTTGTGTAGTTTTTATGTGAAGATATTTCCTTTTCCACCGTAGGCCCTAAAGCTCTCCAAATATCCACTTGCAGATTCTACAAAAAGAGGGAATCAAAAATGCTCAATCAAAAGAAAGGTTCAACTGTGTGAGCTGAAGTCACACATAACAAAGCCGTTTCTCCGAATGCTTCTCCGTAGTTTTTATATGAAGATATTTCCATTTCCACCATTCTCTCCAAAACGCTCCAAATATCCACTTGCATATTCTATAAAAAGAGTGTTTCAAAACTGCTCAATGAAAAGAAAGTTTCAACTCTGTGAAGTGAATGGACACATCACAAAGACATTTCTCAGAATGCTTCTGTCTAGTGTTTATGTGAAGATATTTCCTTTTCCACCACGTGCCTCAAAGCACTCTAAATATGCACTTGCAGATTCAACGAAAAGAGCGTTTCAAAACTGCTCAATCAAAAGAAAGGTTCAACTACTGTGAGATGAATGCACACATCACCAAGAAGTTTCTCAGAATGCTTCTGTCTAGTTTTTATGAGAAGATAGTACTTTTCCACCATTGGCCCCAAAGGGCTCCAAATAGCAACTGCAGATCCTACAAAAAGTGTATAAAAAATGCTAAATCAATAGAAAGTTTCAACTCCGTGAGATGTATGCACACATCAGAAAGAAGTTTCTCAGAATGCTTCTCTCTAGTTTTTATGTGAGGATATTTCCTTCTCCACCATAGGACTCAAAGCACTCCAAATAACCACTGGCAGATTCTAGAAAAAGAGCGTTTCAAAACTGCTCAATCAAAAGAAATTTTCAAATTTGTGAGATGAATGTGCACATCACAAAGAAGTTTCTCAGAGTAATTCTGTCTAGTTTTTATGTGAAGATTTTTCATTTTCCACCATACTCATCAAAGCATTCCAAATATCCACTTGCACATTCTACAAGGAGATTGTTTCAAAACTGCTCAATAAAAAGAATGGTTCAACTATGTGAGATGAATGCAAGCATCACAAAGAGGTATTTCAGAATGGTTCTGTGTAGTTTTTGTGTGAAGATATTTCCTTTACCACCATAAGCCTCAAAGAACTCCAAATATCCACTTACAGATTCTACAAAAAGAGTGCTTCAAAACTGCTCAACCAAAAGAAAGGTTCAACTCTTTGTGATGAATGCACACATCACAAAGTAATTTCTCAGAATGCT